>NT_187605.1:0-244917 GCF_000001405.40 Homo sapiens
GAATTCTTGGCCATGGTCTTGAGGAGAGAGACCCTGGGGTCTCAGACTGCCATAAACACCCACCCTCCCAGCTCGGCTCTAGGGAGCTGTCCCACAAAGGGACAGAAATGAGGCACAGGCTAGAAGCAGGAAGAGAAGTACTTCCCAACCGACATCACCAGTCACCGTCCGAGTGTGGTGATGCCTTGCTGCCGACACCCACCACCTGACTGTTGCTGTCCTTTCTGTTTAAGTTATTCATAGCAGCCTGGGCCAGGACCTGTTTGCCGCTCCTGGCTTTAAAAGTCCCAGCTCCTCCCCTGCTCACCCATTAAAGGGCTAGCATCCTCCATCCATTGGGGCCTGATGGAAATATGAGAACATAGTTTAATGATTAAAAAAACGCTTGAATGGAGAAAAGACATAAACTGCATTTTTAGCCATCCATGGCTTTTAGTACAGTTTATTGGGATTGATATTTGGGGGCAGATAGTTAAAAAGAGGATCCCTGTTTTCCACACCCTTCATTGGTAGTTTGTGAGGTTGCATTTAATTTAATCCCTAGGTTTTGCTTCAACAAAATTGGATAGGAAAGTCCTGGGTAGATCCTGGGGAGGATGCCTAGCAACCACATTCCTGGCGCTTCAGGGCAGCGTACTTGAAGCCCTCAAGTCCACCTGATGATGCTTGCCCTTCACCGGGTCATGTGAGCTTAAGTCAGCTACTCAGCTCTGACTGATGAGAGACCCCTGTGAATTTGGAAGTCAGATCTTCATGGTAAAAACACTTTTGCATGAGATACACAGTCTTACATCTTCTTGGCTGCTCTAATGGCAAACTGGTCCAGAAGCTCAGGAGTAAAAACAAATCAACAACAACAAAAACAAAAACATAGCTGCTCCTGGTAGGCAAAACCCAACACCCTCCCAAGTCTCATCTAACCCTCAAGCAACCCTGGGTTCTGTGCCCACATCCTGTGTTCAGCTGAAACCCACATGACTTTGTAGAACTTCTGAATAAGAATAAAAACTAAGTTAATTTCCCTACATCAAAAATGAAAGTTAGGACCCTCTTGTCATGGTGATAAGACCATGATTCTTGGTGCCTTTAAAGGAAAATATTTGTTTCAGAAGTTTTACTGCAGGTCATAACTATATGGGTGGGGGAACAAATATAAGTAGCTTGAAAGTTACTGAAAAACTTCTCATATATCTTGAGATAGCATCTTACTCTGTCACCCAGGCTTGAGTGCAGTGGCATGATCTTGGCCCACTGCAGCCTCCACCTCCCGGGTTCAAGATTCTCCTGCCTCAGCCTCCCGAGTAGCTGGGATTACAGGCGGCCACCACCATGCCCAGCTAATTTTTGTATATATATATATTTTTTTTCAGTAGAAACAGGGTTTCGCCATGTTGGCCAGGCTTGTCTCAAACTCCTGACCTCAAGTAATCCACCTGCCTTGGCCTCCCAAAGGGCTGGGATTACAAGCACAAGCCACCACACCCAGCTGGGTTCTGGCCTTTTTGGTAATGTTATTCAGCTGTTTCTCTCAGGAACTTCCTAATAACGTACTTTAGCACTATTAACAAAAGGACCACATGGTGAATTTCAGTGTTCCAGAGGTGATTCATTAGGTTGTTGTAGAGACTAGATCTTAAGGAGAAACTTGTTGCATGAAGATTTTCATTCTGAAGGGACTTCTGGTACTGACTAGTACCAAAGCAGGTGGACTAGGGCTCAGTCTTAAAGATCACAGCCCTGCCCTGGCTGTTTGGAGTTTCACTTGGGACCTACTGTTTTTTATGAAGGTCCCCTACCCTTATCTGAAGTCTCATATGTCTACTGATCCCCTAGATGTTCTAACTTTCCTGCCATCATTTCATTATGTTAAGTTCAAGCCAAGCCTATGTTAGGCTTGGGGTAAACAGTGAATAAAGCAGATGCTTCCCACAGCCTGTTAGAGCTTCTTCTAGAATAAGAAGTACACACAGGTACACAGGATTGTTGGGTCAGATTTTAAAAAGACATTAGAGTGGCTCATACCTGTAATCCCAGCACTTTGGGAAGCTGAGGCAGGAGGATAGCTTGAGCCCATGAGTTCAAGACAAGCCTGGACAACATAGTGAGACCCCATCTCTATTAAAAATTTTTTCTTAAAGAAAAAAAATGACATTAGAAATATTTACATTTGCTACATAAAACACTCTTTTATGGGGAGATTTTTTATCCATTGTTTCAGGTTCTTTAATAGCAGTAGATCTAGTCTGGCTTTCAATTTCTTCTTGAGTTTTAAGTTATATATCTTCTAGGAATTTGTCCATTACTTATAAATTTTCAAATTTGTTGGCATAAAGTTGTTCATAGTATAAGTGTATTTAAAAATCCATGCTATAACTGTACTTTGTCTCTCCTGCCCCCTTTCATTTACTTGTTTATTTTGAGACAGAGTCTTGCCTGTCACTCAGGCTGGAGTGCATTGGCACGATCTCAACTCACTGCAACCTCCACCTCCTGTGTTCAAGCAATTCTCCTGCCTCAGCCTCCAGAGTAGCTGAGAATACAGGTGCACACCACCATGCCTGGCCAATTAATTTTTTTTTTTTTTTGAGACAGAGTCTTGCTCTGTCAGCCAGGCTGGAGTGCAGTGGCACCATCTCGGCTCACTGCAACCTCTGCCTCCTGGGATCAAGCAATTGTCCTGCCTCAGCCTCCTGAATAGCTGGGATTACAGGGGTGTGCCATGCCCGGCTAATTTTTGTATTTTTAGTATAGAAGGGGTTTCACCATGTTGGCCAGTCTGGTCTTGAACTCCTGACCTCAGCTAATCCACTTACCTCGGCCTCCCAAAGTGCTGGGATTACAGGCGTGAGCCACCGTGCCTGGCCAATTTTTTTTTTCTTTTTCTTTTTCTTTTTTTTTTTTTTTTTTTTAGTAGAGATAGGCTTTTGCCATGTTGGCCAGGCTGGTCTCAAACTCCTGGCTTCAAGTGATCCACCTGCCTCGGCCTCCAGAGTGCTAGGATTACAGGCGTGAGCCACTGCGTCCGGCCCTTTGTCTCCCTTTTTATTCCTAATATTATTCATCTCCTCCTTTGTTCTTCTTTCTAGAGTTTGTCTATTTTATTAGTCTTTTTAAAGAACCATGTATGTCAGGTTTCCTTCAGGAAATAGATGGTGTATTCAAACTGGATAATCTAATAAAGTTATATTTATAAAAGTATAGAAAGAGTATAGTGAAACCACAAGTAATAGCAGAATCCCCTGGGACTGGGACAAGAGGATGGAGCAGTCACCAGAACCTGGAGACAGAGAGGGCTGCCTGGCTTCAGATAATGTCAGCATCTGTGCTGTATGAGTTCCAGTGTGGCAGCCCTCTCCTAAATTACCCCAATTCCCTCTGGATCTGGGATCTGCTCCCTCCTCTTGCCCCTGAGGTCTGGGGGTGGGAAAGGCTCCCCACTCTTGCTAGTTCCAGGGTGCTTCACTGGCCTTTATGAGTTTCCCTTCACCCTGTTCACACCTTGGTGAATATTCTCTTCCTGACATGCTCCTCAGTTACACCACTTGAATGTGCCATCTGCTTCTTGTCGGGACCATGACTGACACTGCTCCATCACCAGCCTGCTGAGCTGTTCTTTAATTTGTCCTTGTTTAGCTGCCTTTCCCATACATCCCTCATCAGTGATTCTAAAAAATAGGCATTGTCCTCCTCCAGTCTTCCATACAACTCCCATCTCTACTCTCAGCAGTCAACCTCACCTCTTATGTTATGGGGAAAATAGAGGCCATTGGGGCTGATCCACTTCAATTCATACTTGGAGGAAATTATACACAGCCACAGGCCCCCCACCTTGCACTTCCAGGTGGGGGGCTCTCCTCCTCTTCAAGTCCAGACTCTCTTCCTGGATGCTTGGCCCTTCAGCCACTTTTCTCTGTGTCTTGAGCCTCTCTGTTTTCCCCTTTCTTTTTCTTAGTGTATAGGATAGAAATATCAGGATGTGTCCACTTCTTGGAGACAAATCCCTGTCTTGTTTTTGTTTCTTATTTTAACTGCCCTTCAGGTCTCTCCTACCTAACAAACCAAACTTCTCCATTTCCTCACATCATTCCTTCAACTGTTGCTTTCTGGCTTTTGACTCCATTATAGTGGTGGCAACAGGGACAAACAGACATAATCTCCATAAGCCCCTTCAACACTTTTTCTGGACAATTGACAATTATTTGACGTATTAGTTCTCTGCAAATGCAGGGTCAAGACAAGTCCCCTACCCTTACTTCCACCTAGATGCCACCTATATAATTCTCGGGCTTGAAAAAGTATATCTGGAGCTAACATTACTAGTTACTCCGCAGAGACTTTTCTCAATACCATTACCAGTGATTTTTCTTTCTTTCTTTTTAGTTTTAGAGATGGGGTCTCGCTCTTTCACCCAGACTGGAGTGCAGTGGCACGATTATAGCTCACTGCAAACTTGAACTTCTGGACTCCTGCCTCAACCTTCCAAGTAGCTGGGACTACGGCATACACCACCACACCCAGCTAATTTTTAAAATTTTTATAGAGATGGCGTCTCGCTTTTTTGCCCAGACTGGTCTCAAACTCCTGGGCTCAAGTCGTCCTCCCACCTTGGCCTCCCAAAGTGCTGGGATTACAGATGTGAGCCACTTCTCTCGGCTGTGATTTCTTAACTGTAAGTGCAAAAGACATGTTTCAGTCCTGACCTTAGCTGACATCTCTACAGCATTCAACACTGCTGATCACATCCTCCTTGGATCTCTGTGCTCCCACAGCTTCCCAACACTTGTCTCCTGGCTCTTCCAGTACCTCTTGGGTCATTTTTCTTTGGCCCTTTTCCTGCTCCCCTCATCTTCTTCCCATCCTTTGAATATCCGCTTCCTCAGGCTACTTCTCAGTCCTCTATATATCAAATATTCTTAATCTGAGGATCCCCTGAAATTGTGTATATGTTGGTGTGGTTTTCAGTATGTTTGTTTTTCTGGAAAGAGCATCTGTAGCTTTTATCACATCCTCAAAGGGATCAAGGATCTGCAAAGGTTAAATCCTCTGCAACCTGATATCCCTGGGCAATCTCATCTCATGCTGATGATTTCCAAGTTGTTTTGTCAGATCAGACACCCCTCAACTTACAACACCTCAGTGTTTCTCATGTCCCATTCTTTACATAAAGCATAAGCCCCTTTACAATCTGGCCCTGACTGTCATAGAAAGCAACCAGTCTCCTATCTTAAAGTTCCCTACCTTCTAGATTGAGTTTCAGAAATAGTAAACTGCTTTTAGCTGCATGGAGAAATTAGGGTTCCACTTTAGCCTTCTCTCGTAATCGCTGTGCACCAGGTTGTCCCTACACTGGAGACCTCTCGCCCTTGGTCTGGGAGCTATATTCTGTTGTTGATTAAGGCAGCTTTCTGTTCCAGTTCTGTCTTTCCAATGATATTGAAAGTGTGTATCTTAGCAGGTAATATGCTGTGCATTATGTCATATAAGCAACATGAAGTTACAAAGTAAGAGTTGTTTTAATTGGAAGGTGATTTCAGAATTGTCTTTATTGAATGGTCTTATTCTAATATTCTAGTTATTCAAATGGGAAAAACAAACTCGGCCCAGGATTCATCTCCTCCAGGAGGCCTTCTCAGATAGGCTTTTCCCTTCCAGCCTGGGATAGGCACCCTTATGTGTGCTCACTGATCCTTATGCTTTTTGCTCATTGCACCTACCACACTGTGTCGTCATTCTGTTTCTAAATTTGTCACTCCCACTTGCAAGCAGAGATGTTCCTCATCTCTGTGCCCCTGGCACTTAACACAGTCTCTGGAACAGAGTAGGTTCTTAGTAGATGTTGACTGAGCTGAACTGGAATGGAAAATTATGGACCTTTCCCTGAGAGAGAGACTTCTTCAGAGGGGTTTCTTGCCAGCCACCTGGGTGTGTCCTACTCCAGCTCACTCCTCACGTTCTTCCCAAGAAATTTCATTCCAAGAAACAAACCAGAATATCTAAGCCAGAAATCATAAAAGAAAAGATACGTAGATTTCACTAAAGAAAGTTAAACTTCTATATTGAAGACATATTTATGCCAAAGTAAATGCTAGATGGAGCAAAGATTTAAACATAAAAAAAATCTCAAAACGGTGGCTGGCAAGATGGCCAAATAGGAATAGCTCTGGTCTGTAGCTCCAAGAGAGATCAACACAGAAAGTGGGTGATTTCTGCATTTCCAACTGAGGTACCCAGCTCATCTCACTGGGACTGGTTAGACAGTGGGTGCAGCCCACGGAGGGTGAGCCAAAGCAGGGTGGGGCATTGCCTTACCCGGGAAGTGCAAGGGGTTGGGGAACTCCCTCTCCTAGCCAAGGGACTGTGAGGGACTGTGCCTTGAGGGACGGTGCACTCTGACCCAGATACTACGCTTTTCCCATCCTCTTCACAACCCACAGAACAGGAGATTCCCTCAGGTGCCTATGCCACCAGGGCCTTGGGTTTCAAGCACAAAACTGGGCAGCTGTTTGGGCAGACACTGAGCTAGCTGCAGTTTTTTTTTTCATACCCCAGTGGCGTCTGGCATGCCAGCGAGACAGAACCATTCACTCCTCTGGAAAGGGTGCTGAAGCCAGGGAGCCAAGTGGTCTAGCTCAGTGGATCCCACCCCCACAGAGCCCAGCAAGCTGAGATGCACTGGCTTGAAATTCTCACTGCCAGCACAGCAGTCTGAAGTCAAGCTGGGACACTTGAGCTTGGTGGGGGGAGGGGCGTTTGCCATTACTGAGGCTTGAGTAGGTGGTTTTCACCTCACAGTGTAAACAAAGCCACCAGGAAGTTCAAACTGGGTGGAGTCCACTGCAGCTCCGCAAAGCTGCTGTAGCCAGACTGCCTCTCTAGATTCCTCCTCTCTGGGCAGGGTATCTCTGAAAGAAAGGCAGTAGCCCCAGTCAGGGGCTTATAGATAAAACTCCCATCTCCCTGGGACAGACAGAGCACCTGGTAGAAGGGGCAGCTGTGGGCACAGCTTCAGCAGACTTAAACATTCCTGCCTGCTGACTCTGAAGAGAGCAGCGGATCTCCCAGCATAGTGCTCAAGCTCTGCTGAGGGACAGACTGCCTCCTCAAGTGTGTCCCTGACCCCCATGCCTCCTGACTGGGAGACACCTCCCAGCAGGGGTCGACAGACACTTCATACAGGAGAGCTCCGGCTGGCATCTTGTGGGTGCCCCTCTGGGACAAAAATTCCAGAGGAAGGAACAAGCAGCAATCTTTGCCGTTCTGCAGTCTCCGCTGGTGATACCCAGGAAAACAGGGTCTGGAGTGGACCTCCAGCAAACTCCAACAGACCTGCAGCAGAGGGGCCTGACTGTTAGAAGGAAAACTAACAAACAGAAAGGAATAGCATCAACATAAAAAAAAAAAAAATCCACACAGAAACCCCATCCGAAGGTTACCAACATCAAAGACCAAAGGTAGATAAATCCATGAAGATGAGGAAAAACCAGCACAAAAAGGCTGAAAATTCTAAAAACCAGAACATCCCTTCTCCTCCAAAGGATCACAACTCCTTCCAGCAAGGGAACAAAAGTGGACAGAGAATGAGTTTGATGAATTGACAGAAGAGGCTTCAGAAGGTGGGTAATAACAAACTGCTCCAAGCTAAAGGAGCATGTTCTAACCCAATGCAAGGAAGCTAAGAAGCTTGAAAAAAGGTTGGAGGAATTGCTAACTAGAATAACTAGTTTAGAGAAGAACATAAATGACCTGATAGAGCTGAAAAACACAGCACAAGAACTTTGTGAAGCATTCACAAGTATTAATAGCTGAATTGATCAAGCAGAAGAAGGAATACCGGCGATTGAAGATCAGCTTAATGAAATAAAGCAAGACGACAAGATTAGAAAAAAAAAATGAAAAGTAATGAACAAAGCCTCTGAGAAATATGGCACTATGTGGAAAAGACCAAATCTACATTTGATTGGTGTACCCGAAAGTGATGGGGAGAATGGAAACAAGCTGGAAAACACTCTTCAGGATATTATCCAGGAGAACTTCCCCAACCTAGCAAGACAGGCCAACATTCAAATTCAGGAAATATGGAGAACACCACGAAGATATTCCTCGAGAAGAGCAACCCCAAGACACATAATCATCAGATCCACCAAGGTTGAAATGAAGGAAAAAATGTTAAGAGCAGCCAGAGAGAAAGGTTGGGTTACCCAGAAAGGTAAGTCCATCAGACTAACAGTGGATCTCTCTGCAGAAACCCTACAATCCAGAAGAGAGTTGGGACCAATATTTAACATTCTTCAAGGAAAGAATTTTCAACCCAGAATTTCATATCCAGCCAAACTAAGCTTCATAAGTGAAGGAGAAATAAAATCCTTTACAGACAAGCAAATGCTGAGAGATTTTGTCACCAACAGGCCTGCCTTACAAGAGCTCCTGAAGGAAGCACTAAACATGGAAAGGAACAACCGATACCAGCCATTGCAAAAACATACCAAATTGTAAAGACCATCAACACTATGAAGAAACTGTGTCAACTAACGGGCAAAATAACCGGCTAGCATCATAATGACAGGATCAAATTCACACATAACAATATTAACCTTAAATGTAAACAGGCTAAATGCCCCAATTAAAAGACACAGACTGGCAAACTGGATAAAAAGTCAAGACCCTGCCAGGCACGGTGGCTCACGCCTGTAATCCCATCACTTTGGGAGGCCAAGGCGGGTGGATCACGAGGTCAAGAGATTGAGACCATCCTGGCCAACATGGTGAAACCCCATCTCTATTAAAAATACAAAAAATTAGCTGGGCCTGGTGGCACACACCTGTAATCCCAGCTACTTGGGAGGCTGAGGCAGGAGAATTGCTTGAACCCAGGAGGCAGAGGTTGCAGTGAGCTGAGATTGCGCCTTTGCATTCCAGCCTGGGCAACAGAGTGAGACTCTGTCTCAAAAAAAAAAAAAGAAAAAAATCAAGACCCATCAGTGTGCTGTATTCAGGAGACCCATCTCATGTGCAAAGACACACATAGGTTCAAAATAAAGGGATGGAGGAATATTTACCAAGGAAATGGAAAGCAAATAAAGCAGGGGTTGCAATCCTAGTCCCAGATAAAACAGACTTTAAACCAACAAAGATCAAAAGAGACAAAGAAGGGCATTACATAATGGTAAAGGGATCAATGCAGCAAGAAGAGCTAACTATCCTAAATATATATGCACCCAATACAGGAGCACCCAGATTCATAAAGCAAGTTCTTAGAGACCTACAAAGAGACTTAGACTCCCACACAATAATAGTGGGAGACTTTAACACCCCACTGTCAATATTAGACAGATCAACGAGACAGAAAATTAACAAGGATATTCAGGACTTGAACTCAGCTCTGGACCAAGTGGACCTAATAGACATCTACAGAACTCTCCACCCCAAATCAACAGCATATACATTCTTCTCAGCACCACATCGCACTTGTTCTAAAATTGACCACATAATTGGAAGTAAAACACTCCTCAGCAAATGCAAAAGAACGGAAATCATAAAAAACAGTCTCTCAGACCACAGTGCAATCAAATTAGAACTCAGGATTAAGAAACTCACTCAAAACTGCAAAACTACATGGAAACTGAACAACCTGCTCCTGAATGACTACTGGGTAAATAACAATATTAAGGCAGAAATAAATAAGTTCTTTGAAACCAATGAGAACAAAGACACAACGTACCAGCATCTCTGGGCCACATTTAAAGCAGTGTTTAAAGGGAAAGTTATAGAACTAAATGCCCACAAGAGGAAGTAGGAAAGATCTAAAATTGACACCTTAACATCACAATTAAAAGAACTAGAGAAATAAGAGCAAACAAATTCAAAAGCTAGCAGAAGACAAGAAATAACTAAGATCAGAGCTGAACTGAAGGAGACAGAGACATGAAAAACCCTTCAAAAAATCAGTGAATCCAGCAGCTGTTTTTTTGAAAAGATCAATAAAATAGACAACTAGCCATACTAATAAAGAAGAAAAGAGAGAAGAATAAAATAGACACAATAAAAAATGATAAAGGGGATATCACCACTGATCCCACAGAAATACAAACTAGCATCAGAGAATACTATAAAAACCTCTATGCAAATAAACTAGAAAATCTAGAAGAAATGGATAAATTCCTGGACACATACACCCTCCCGAGACTAAACCAGGAAGAAGTTGAATCCCTGAATAGACCAATAACAAGTTCTGAAATTGAGGCAGTAATTAATAGCCTACTAATCAAAAAAGTCCAGGACCAGATGGACTCACAGCTGAATTCTACCAGAGGTACAATGAGGAGCTGGTACCATTCCTTCTGAAACTATTCCAAACAATAGAAAAAGAGGTAATCCTCCCTAACTCATTTGATGAGGCCAGCATCATCCTGATACCAAAACCTGGCAGAGACACAACAAAAAAAGAAAATTTCAAAGGTCAATATCCCTGATGAACATTGATGTGAAAGTCCTCAATAAAATACTGGCAAACCAAATCCAGCAGCACATCAAAAAGCTTATCCACCATGATCAAGTCAGCTTCATCCCTGGGATGCAAGGCTGGTTCAACATACACAAATCGATTAACGTAATCCATCACATAAATAGAACCAATGACAAAAACCACGTGATTATCTCAATAGATGCAGAAAAGGCCTTCAACAAAATTCAACACCCTTTCATGCTAAAAACTCTCAATAAACTAGGTATTGATGGAACGTATCTCAAAATAATAAGAGCTATTTATGACAAACACACAGCCAATATCATACTGAATGGGCAAAAACTGGAAGCATTCCCTTTGAAAACCAGCACAAGAAAAGGATGCCTTCTCTCACCACTCCTATTCAACATAGTATTGGAAGTTCTGGCCAGGGCAATCAGGCAAAAGAAAGAAATAAAGGGTATTCAAATAGGAAGAGAGGAAGTCAAATTGTCTCTGCTTGCAGATGACATGATTGTATATTTAGAAAACCCCATAGTCTCAGCCCAAAATCTCCTTAAGCTGATAAGCAATTTCAGCAGTCTCAGGCTACAAAATCAATGTGCAAAAATCACAAGCATTCCTATACACCAATAATAGACAGAGAGCAAAATCACGAGTGAACTCCCAGTCACAATTGCTACAAAGAGAATTAAGTACCTAGGAATCCAACTTACAAGTCATGTGAAGGACCTCTTCAAGGAGAACTACAAACCACTCCTCAAGGAAATAAGAGAGGACACAAAGAAGTGGAAAATCATTCCATGCTCATGGATAGGAAGAATCAATATCGTGAAAATGGCCAAAGTAATTTATAGATTCTCTGCTATCCCAGCACTTTAGGAGGCCAAGGCAGGCAGATCACGAGGTCAGGAGATTGAGACCATCCTGGCTAACACAGTGAAAACCATCTCTACTAAAAATACAAAAAATTAGCCAGGTGTGGTGGCGGGTGCCTGCAGCCCCAGCTACTTGGGAGGCTGAGGCAGGCGAATGGCGTGAACCCGGGAGGCAGAGCTTGCAGTGAGCCAAGATCATGCCACTGCACTCCAGCCTGGGTGACAGAGCGAGACTCTGTCTCAAAAAAAAAAAAAAAAACTAGCTAAATAATAATAATAATAAAAAAAATGCTATCCCCATCAAGCTACCATTTACTTTCTTCACAGAATTAGAAAAAACTACTTTAAATTTCATATGGAACCAAAAAAGAGCCCGCATAGCCAAGACAATCCTAAGCAAAAACAAACAAACAAACAAACAAAGCTGGAGGCACCATGCTACCTGACTTCAAACTATACTACAAGGCTACAGTAACCAGAACAGCATGGCACTGGTATCAAAACAGATATATCGACCAATGGAACTGAACAGAGGCCTCAGAAATAACACCACACATCTACAACCATCTGATCTTTCACAAACCTGACAAAAACAAGCAGTGGGGGAAAGGATTCCCTATTTAATGAATGGTGTTGGGAAGACTGGCTATCCATATGCAGAAAACTGAAACTGGACCCCTTCCTTACACTTTATACAAAAATTAACTCAAGATGGATTAAAGACTTAAATGTAAGATTGAAAACCATAAAAACCCCAGAAGAAAACCTAGGCAATACCATTCAGGACATAGGAGTGGGCAAAGACTTCATGACTAAAACAATAAAAGCAATGGCAACAAAAGCCAAAATTGACAAGTGGTATCTAATTAAACTAAAGAGCTTCTGCACAGCAAAAGAAACTGTCATCAGAGTGAATGGGCAACCTACAGAATGGGAGAAAATGTTTGCAATCTATCCATCTGACAAAGGGCTAATATCCAGAATCTACAAAGAACTTAAACAAATGTACAAGAAAAAAGCAAACAACCCCATCAAAAAGTGGGCAAAGGATATGAACAAACACTTCTCAAAAGAAGACATTTATGCAGCCAACAAACATATGAAAAAAAGCTCATCAACATTGGTCATTAGAGAAATGCAAATCAAAACCACAAAGAGATACCAACTCATGCCAGTTAGAATGGTGATCATTAAAAAGTCAGGAAACAACAGATGCTGGGAGGATGTGGAGAAATAAGAATGCTTTTACACTGTTGGTGGAAGTGTAAATTAGTTCAACCATTGTGGAAGACAGTGTGGTGATTCCTTAAGGATCTAGAACCAGAAATACCATTTGACCCAACAATCCAATTACTGGGTACATACCCAAAGGATTATAAATCATGCTGCTATAAAGACACATGCACAGCTATGTTTACTGCAGCACCGTTCACAACAGCAAAGACTTGGAACCAACCCAAATGCCCATTAATGATAGCCTGGATAACGAACATGTGGCACATATACACCATGGAATACTATGCAGCCATGAAAAAGGATGAGTTCATGTCCTTTGCAGGGACATGGATGAAGCTGGAAACCACCATTCTCAGCAAACTAACACAAGAACAGAAAACCAAATACTGCATGCTCTCACTCATAAGTGGGAGTTGAACAATGAGAACACATGGACACAGGGAGGGGAACATCACACACCAGGGCCTGTTGTGGGGTGGGGGACTAGGGGAGGGATACCATTAGGAGAAATACCTAATGTAGATGACTGGTTGATGGGTGCAGCAAACCACCATGGCACATGTATACCTATGTAACAAACCTGCATGTTCTGCACATGTACCCCAGAACTTAAAGTATAATAATAAGAAGAAAATCTCAAAAATACTAAAAGAAAATATATGAATGTTGGCCAAGCATGGTGTCTCACACCTGTAATCCCAGCACTTTGGGAGGCCGAGGTGGGCGGATCACCTGAGGTCAGGAGTTCGAGACTAGCCTGACCAACATGGAGAAACCCCATCTCTACTAAAAATACAAAATTAGCCAGGCATGGTGGCACATGCCTGTAATCCCAGCTACTCGGGAGGCTGAGGCAGGAGAATCGCTTGAACATGGGAGGCGGAGGTTGCCATGAGCTGAGATAGCGCCATTGCACTCCAGCCTGGGCAACAAGAGCGAAACTCCGTCTCAAAAAAAAGTGAGTGTTTTCTAAATGTAAAGACGGACCTTCTAACTATCACCCCAAATCCATAGGCTATGAAGGGTGGCTGACAAATTTGTCTACAAAAAAATTTAAGATTGCTGAGTGGCAAATATAAAACCACAAATAAAGTCAAAATAATTTTTTTTTTTTTTTGAGACTGGGTCTCACTGTGTTGCCAAGGCTGGAGGGCAATGGCACAGTCACAGCTCACTGCAGCCTCCACCTCCTGGGCTCAAGTGATCCTCCCACCTCAGCTTCCTGAGTAGCTGGGACCACAGGCACACGCAACCATGCCTGGCTTTTTTTTTTTTTTTGGTATAAACAGCATCTCACAATGTTGTCTAGTCTGCTCTTGAACTCCTGGGCTCAAGTGATCCTCCCACCTTGGCCTCCCAAAGTGCTGGGATTACAGTCCTGAGCCACCATGCCTTTATTTTTATCTGGTAATCTTAAATTTACCTTTGAAAGTCATTTAAAAAAACTTATGGGTAAAAATTATTTTTGTTGTTTCTGAAGATGTTAAGAGTTCAGAAAAAGAGATATTTATGTTAAGCTCAGATCTTTTTAGCAATAGCTTCTTCACAACTGCTTGTTATCATATATTATCCAATCAGTAACCATGTCAAAATTAACATAATGCTGTTGACAGATAACATAAAAATAAGTTTGCTATTTTCTCTGACATTTACTTTGAAAATTCTTTACTTTAGTTAAGTGTGAATGTCTGTTAACACAGAATGTCTGTGTCCTTATGGAGACTGAGAAATCTTTGACCATGCTTTTTACTTTTTCAAATAGAAAAACTGTCCTAATTTAAATAATAATTTAAATTTATATTTTAATTAATTATAAAAATATGAGCTTTGGGGAATATAGGCTAAGTGTATAAAACTACTTTTTTTAACTGATATTTTATGTTAAAATATATTTGGTTATAAAAAACTCAAAAATGTTATTGTTTTTCAAAACCATGCCTCTATTTACATTACAGGAAAGGTGCACATATAGACAGAGAAAAGTTGAGATTTTGTCTACCAAACCTATGTTCAATCCATAATAGGTAATTGTCCAATGATTTATAACATAACATAAAAAGATTTTCTGTGATTAATCTATAACTGCTACGCTTACAGAGAAACTTCTAGGCAGGAGAAACTTTTAAAACAGATTGTGGCCAGGCATGGTGGCTCATGCCTGTAATCCCAGTACTTTGGGAGGCCAAGGCAGGCGGATCACTTGAGGTCAGGAGTTCGAGACCAGCCTCACCAACATAGCAAAAACCCGTCTCTACTAAAAATACAACAGTTATCTGAGTGTGGTGGCATGTTCCTGTAATCCCAGCTACTTGGGAGGCTGAGGCACAAGAATTGCTTGAACTCAGGAGGTGGAGGTTGCAGTGAGTTGAGATCACAGCACCACTGCACTCCAGCCTGAGCCACAGAGTGAGACTCTGTCTCAAAAAAAAAAAAAAATTAAATTAAATTTAAAAATAATATAAAGTAAACCTGGGCACGGTGGCACACACCTGTAGTACCATCTGCTCAGGAGGCTAAGAAAAGGCCAGCCTAGGCAACATAAAGAGACTCTGTCTCAAATAAATAGATAAATAAATAAGATACAAAGTAAAACAAGGAGATACAATTGATGATAATGACCAGCTAGGGGAAGAGTGTGGGGAGATAAATATCGTCCTTATTTTATAGAGGGAGGATAACCTGGTACAAAGACTCTGGAGGCAGTTTCACAGTGTGTAGCCTGAATTATAATAGGGAAAAACTGCGAACATCTTCAATACAGGATTAGGTAAAAATGTATGGCATGTTTTATACAATGAAATACTGTGAACACATGAAAAAACAATATAGATCTCTATTATTATAGAAATAGATACACTGTCCATGATAAACGGTTAAATAAAAAGCAGTTTGCAGAGAAATCTCTGCACAATGATTGCATCTTTGTAAACATATATATTCATATTCATATCTGTATATAAATAGAGAAAGAATAAACAATGGATTAGCAGTGGTTATCTTTGGTTTATAGAATAACAGGTAATTTAAATGTTTATCTTTATCCTTACCTATTGTCTGAAGTTTTCATAATGGCCATGAATTTTATAATTAGAAAAAATAAAGCTATGTGGATAAGGTTTGTAAAATAGCAAACAAAAAATACCCCAAAGACAAAAACCAACGACAACAACAACAAAAAAACCAGCTCTGTTGGTACCTGCATCACAGTCTAAAGGATAAAGTTCATATTCTTTACCTTGACACTAAGTCTTCTGCAGGCTCCTCCTGATGGGGCTAATTTCCTGGTATCATAATCTATATATTGCCTATAACCAGAGCCTATGAGCTCACCAGAGGAGGAACTTTCCCCAGTGCCGAGGAGCTAGCAGGCACTCAGTAAAGAATCCTTGAACGACTGTGGTGAACACTGAGATCAGATGGATAGGTTGGGGCCAGGTTGTAGAGGCATTTAGGCCAGGCTAAGAAGAAGAAAACCAAAACTTTGGGATATCTTTGTCTTGGGGGCTGGAGGCCCCTCCTCTTACTCTTGTTCCTCTTCAACACTGGCAACAGCAGGTAGAGCAGGAGTGGTCTGGCCCATTTGGAGCGTGACATCTGAGAAATGGCTCAGAAATGGCAGCACTGCCAGGACTCTGGCCTGTGATTCTCATGTGATGTGCTGGGCCCACATCACTGGGGCTAACTCAGCTCAGTTTGTGGCAGTGATAGGAGGGGAAGACCAGGGCTCCTGACCAAGCCAGGCTTTGGCAAAACTCCTACCTTCCTCAGCTATGGAGCTGATGATAACCTGCCTCCAACATGAGTGTGCTCAGAATGCTCTGTGTAGCCAGAGCCTAGTTAACCAAGAGGTAAACTTGACTTGGAAAAGGCAAATATTTATACTGAACTAAGCTCCTGGAAACCAAGGCCAAAATGTCCATGATTCTGGAAAAAGGGGAAGAACTAATTTTCTATTGCTGCTGTAACGAATTTCCAAAAACTTGGTGGCTTAAGAAAACAGTTTATCATCTTGTATTTCTGTAGCTCAGAAGTCTAACACAAATATGATGGGGCTAAAAATCAAGGTGGCAGCCGAGAAGCACTCCTTTCTGGAGACTCTATGGGAGAACCCATGTCTTTGGCTTTTCCACCTTCTAGAGGCCACCTGCATCCCTTGATTCATGGCCTGTTCCTTCATCTTCAAAGCCAGCTTGTGGCATCTCTGACCATTCTTCTGCAGTCACATCTCCCTCTGACTACCATCAGGAAAAGTTCTCTGCTTTAAAGGACCCCTGTGATTACACTGGGCGTACCCAAATAATTCCTGATAATCTCCTTTGTAAAAGGTCCTTAACTTTAATTACATCTGCAAAATCCCTTATACCATGTAAAGTAATGTTTCTGCAGGTTCTGGGGCATTATTCTGCCTACCACAAGGCATGATATAGAGAAAAGTCCAAAAAATGTTTTCTTTTTCTGTTTTTTTTTTTTTGAGACAGAGTCTCGCTCTGTCTCCCAGGTTGGAGTGCAATGGCGTGATCTTGGCTCACTGCAACCTTGGCTCACTTCAATCGCACTTCAAGCGGTTTTCCTGCCTCAGCCTCCCAATTAGGTGGGATTACAGGCATGTGCCACCATGCCCGGGTAATTTTTTTTGTATTTTTAGTAGAGACAGGGTTTCTCCACGTTGGCCAGTCTGGTCTCAAACTCCTGACCTCAGGTGATCTGCCAGCCTCATCCTCCCATGGTGCTGGGATTACAGGCATGATCCACCACACCCAGCCTAAAAATGTCAATAATTAGAAGCCAGTTCTGTATCAAGTGACATGGAAAATATCAATATTTTATTACATTAAGATAAGCAAATTCAATGAATATACATATAAAATAATCCCAATTTTGTGGAACCTTCCCTTCCCCCTACTAAACTCTGAGTTATGTACTGACTGAGCCACCTCCTGCCTGTCATGGCCTGGCTTCCGGGGATAGATGGTGGAACCCACCTCCCCCACTCACACTTGCAGAATGTTGGATGAGCAGAGGGGCAGTCCCACCTCAGGTTTTGCTGTCAGTGGTCATTAGATAAATAGATTTTTGGCTAATTTGACATATGATAAATTGTCTTTTAGCAAACTCATTTGTGGCAAGTTGATCCACAGTTAAAACAATAATAGTAATGATGATAAGAAATCATGAAATAAAAGCAGTCACAGCTTTTTCCTTTCAGAAGTCCCCTCTCTCTCACTAGAGAGAGCTGTTTTCCTTTCTCTTTCTTTTGCCTCTTAAACTTCCGCTCCTAAACTCCTTGTGTGTGTGTCTGTCTCCTACATTTTCCTGGCATGAGACGACAAACCCTGGGTATTTACCCCAGTCAACATAGCCACTTCTTACTGAGGACCTCATCCAGGATACCAAAGTACAGCATTCATCGAAATGAGTCAAGGAAACTTACAAGCTTTTGCCTACATTTTAGACTAACCCTGCTTATTCCTATGAATCAAGTGATGATCTGCAACTTGAAGAAACAAAAAGGGATGGCAACATCTGGTGGAGGCAAACCACTGTTACGACCCATTGGAATGGCTGACACCAATCAAACTCCAAATGGTGCTGCAGACAGAACCACACATGGACATGCCTTTCTTCCGAGGACCCTTAGATCAACCCCAGGAGGAGCCTTAGCTGCTGTTACCCACACAACACCCCTTTTCAGCATGAAGTAGCCAGAAAGAGTCATCGTCCACCACCCCCTAAAAGCAGTTAGGGACACCATCCTGGCCAACATGGTGAAACCCGGTCTCTACTAAAAATACAAAAAAATTAGCTGGGCGTGGTGGCACGTGCCTGTAGTCCCAGCTACTCAGGAAGCTGAGGCAGAAGAATCACTTGAACCCGGGAGGTGGAGGTTGCAGTGAGCCGAAGATTGCACCATTGCACTCCAGCCTGGCGACAGAGCGAGACTCCCTCAAAAAAAAAAAAGCAGTTAGGGTTACCACTCCAGAGGGGGGAATGATACAGGAGTTAAGAAATTAATTAGGGTACAGAAGTTTTTCTTTTAATGAAAAGCAGCCCCAAATTATTTTCCTTTCTAACAAAGAGCAGCCTGCAAAATTGAGCTGCAGACACAGATGCCTGCAGTTGAGCCAATCATGTTCAAGATGGCAGCTCCATCTTCCCTTTTCTTTGTCAGCCACTTTTACAGTAAGGGGCAGACAAGATGGCGCTGGCCAAGGGGAAAGTTCATTTGCATAATAAGATTAGGGTGGGATGGCCAGCCTTCCCCTCACCTCTGTAAATGTCATACCTGATGGAACCAATCTGTGAGCCCTACATAAATCAGACACTGCCTCCTAAAGCCTGAGTATAAAATCCAGGGCACCGGCTGCCGGCTGGCCTTTTCCTCAGAAGTTCCCTCTCTGTCACTACAGAGACAGCTGTTTTCCTTTCTCTTTCTTTTGCCTATTAAGCCTCCACTCCTAAACTCAAAACAAAAACAGTCACAAGCCCACCAAGTTCTGTTTACTCCTGTGGACATACCTGGTCCTTCTGTGTCTATGATGGATCTGTGGACACATCTCTCACCATTTTGTGCTGTTTATTTTGTTTTAAACTTCTGATTCTTTACCAAATAATTCTTCCTGGTTTCCTCACAGTTGTTTTAGGGGAAGAGTTCAGAAAGATCCAAACCACCAGAGAATAGAGAGCACCTGATTGGAAGCAGGTCTAACAGTGTCAGGGGGCAGCCAGAAAGGACCCCACACTAACTGGTCAGAGGCAAGTGTCAGCTCCACAAGCTGGAAAGTGGGAAGCTATGGCTGAGAAGCATTTGTCAAAAGGGAAAAAGAATATTTGGAGGAGAATGTTGATTTTTTAATAGTGCTGCACGGAATCCAAGGCAAGATAGAAAATATCCAGGTTAGAATTCTGCAGTTTTAAGTAGGAACTGAGATGAAGAGCGAAGTACTATACCTACAAGGGAAAACATCCCTAAAGGAAGCTGTGCCAGTAATTTAGTAACTGGGTATAATCTTCCCCAGGGAAAATTCTGGGTCTGTCCTACTACTCCCACACAATTAAGAGATTTTGGCTTCAACATTTACCTAATCCATTTCTGCATTCAAGCTGACAGGTGATGCTACCTCTGATTCCTTTTATGCTTTTAATAGGCTTATAATTAAGGATGAATAATACATGTAAAATTATGGTTATTACTGGGAGAGGATTTGGGAGAAATTAGGATTTTTATATTTCTGTACTACTTGATTTTTTTTACATCAAGCTTATATAATTTTCCCAGTAAAAACAAATTTGGCATCTGATAGACTGCAATGGTTACACACAAGCCTGTGGGACAGGTTCTCTGCCTACTGGATACTTTAATTCCCAACTTTTGTCTTTCCTTTCATTCTCCCCCAAATAAAGATAATAGTACTCGCCTCATATGGATCCTGGGAGATTTTTTTTCCCCCTCCAAGGTATGGTGTCTGACTTGGTAACTGCCAATTAAAAAAAAAATCTCCCTCTTTGTGTTCTATTTTTTTGGGGGCCTGTTGCCCATTATGTAACAGCTCTCAAATCTGAAAAGTCAGTCAGGCTGAACATCTTAGGTAGCTGCTCATAAATTAATTATTGGGCTGATTTTAATTACAGATTGGAATCTCCTGGTGGGCAGGGTCTGGCGTCTTCTGCTTTTAATTCCTTAGAAGTACTTACATTTGCCGCAAAGCCTGCACTTAACCAAAATTTGCTGAATTTAATAGAATTAACACATAAGATTGAGGATTTTGAGTTCCAAAACAGATTTAACCAAGAGGTACTTTGGAGCAGGTAGCAATCTTCAAACTCCTTAAATTATACCATTTAACAATGGTTTTAACTATCTCCTCCTCCTCCTTCTCATCCTCCTGTTTCTTCTCCTCCTCCTCCCTCTTCCTCTTCCCCTTCCTCCTCCTCCTTCTCCTCCTCCTTTCTTTTTCTTCTCCTCTTCCTCCTTCTTCCTTTTCCTCTTCCTCCTCCCTTTTCTTGTTTCTTCTTCTTGCTCCTGCTCATTCTTCTTCCTTCTTCTTCTTTCTTCTTCCTCCTTCTTTTCCCTCCTTCTTCTTCCTTCTTCTCCTTTTTGACCAATCAAGTGAAGCAGTGGAAGTGGAGAAGGAACAAAGAAATCTGTGACTGTGATGAATTAGTTGTAAACACCACTGTACTTGAACCAACCTTAATTTTCTTCTTTATAGTTTTTAGTATGTTCCAATTTTCCATCATGTGCATATATTACTTTTATAAACAGAAAAAAGTAAATGTCAGTTAAAAAAATAATATTACACATCTTGTTGCTGGCTCCTGTGTATCTAGTTCCCCTCACCTTCTCATTTGCTTCATATCTTGGTGCTGGTTGCTCTGTAGCTACATCCCCCTCACCTTCTCATTTGCTTCTATTCTTGCCCTGGTCTCCAAAGCCTCCCAATTACTTCTTATGGATCCCTTCTCGGAAAGTGCCAAGAGTTATTTTCTAGCGGAAAGATTGAGGCCTTTGGAATCCACTAGACCAAGATTTGAATCCCAGCTCAGTGAAATCATGGGAAGTATCTTACCTCTCTGCATCTCGGTCTCCTTATCTGTAAAGGAAATAACACCTACCTTCTAGGTTGTTGTGTAGTTTGGGTCAGCAGCTTTCCCACTTTTTTTTTATTATTATTTTAAAAAATTGAGATGGGGCTCTTGCTATGTTGCCCAGGCTGGTCACGAACTCATGGGCTCAAGTGATCCTTCTGCTTCAGCCTCCTAAGTAGCTGGGACTACAGGTGCATACCACCATGCCTGGCTTGGTCATTTTGTTTAATTTTTTTATTTTTATTTTCTGTCTTTAAATTTTTTTAATTTTAATTTTATTTTTAATTTTCATGGGTACATAATGGGTGTGTGTGTATATATATATATGAAGTGTATGAGATATTTTGATACAGGTATAATAATCACATCAGGGAAAATGGTGTATCCCTTACCCCAAGCATTTATCCTTTCTTTGTGTTACAAATAATCCAATTATACTATTTTAGTTATTTTTACTATACAATAAACTGTTGACACTAGTCACCCTGTTGTGCTATCAAATACCAGATCTTATTCATTCTAATTATATTTTTGTATCCATTAACCATTTCTCCTTCTCCCTCCCCCGACTACTCTTCCCAGCCTCTGATAACCATTATTCTACTCTCTATTTCCATGAATTCAGTTGCTGTAATTTTTAGCTCCCACAGAGAAGAACACACAAAGTTTGTCTTTCTATGCCTGGCTTACTTAACATAATGACCTCCAGTTCCATCCATATTGCTGCAAATGACAAGAATTCACCCTTTAATTCACCCTTTATTATGGCCAAACACACTCCATTGTGTATGTGTACCACATTTTCTTCATTCATCTGTTGATGGACACTTAGGTTGCTTCCAAATCTTGACTATTTTGAATAGTGCTGCAATAAACATGAAAATGCAGATATCTCTTTGATATACTGATTTTCTTTCTTTTGCGTATATACCCAGGAGTAGGATTGCTGGATCATATGATTGCTGTATTTTTAGTTTTTTGAGGAACCTCCAAGCTGTTCTCCCTAGTGGCTATACTAATTTCCATTCCCACCAACAGTGTATGAAGGTTCCCCTTTTCTTCACATCCTCACCAGCATTCATTATTGTCTGTCCTTTGGATAAAAGCCATTTTAATGAGGGTGAGCTGATATCTCATTGTAGTTTTGATTTGCATTTGTCTGATGATCAATGATGGTGAGCACCTTCTCAGATACCCGTTTGCCATTTGTATGTCTTCTTTTGAGAAATGCCTATTCAGATCTTTTGCCCATTTTTAAAATTGGATTAGTAGATTTTTTTCCTATAGAGTTGTTTGAGCTCATTTTATATTTTTATTATTAATACTTGTGAGATGGATTTGTTTGTAAATATTTCCTCCCATTCTGTAGGCTATCTCTTCTCTTTGTTGATTGTTTCTTTTGCTGTGCAGAAGCCTTTAAGGGTATTACTCAAGAAATTTTTGCCCAGTCTAATGTCCTGGAGAGTTTCCACAATGTTTTCTTTTAGCAGTTTCATAGCTTGAGGTCTTAGATTTAAGTCTTTTTATTTTCTTTATGAGACAGGGTCTCACTGTGTCACCCAGGCTAGAGTGCAGTGGTCTCAGCTCACTACAACCTCCACCTCCTAGCTTAAAGTGATTCCCATGCCGCAGTCTCTTGAGTAGCTGGGATTACAGGTGTGCATCAACATGCCCAGCTAATTTTTTGTATTTTTAGTAGAGACAGGGTTTTACCATGTTGGCCAGGCTGGTCTCAAACTCCTGGTCAAGAGATCCACCCACCTTGGCCTCCCAAAGTGCCAGGATTACAGGTGTGAGCCACCATGCCCAGCCAGATTTAAGTCTTTATTCCATTTTTATTTGATTTTTGTATATGGTGAGAGATAGTGGTCTAGTTTCATTCTTCTGCATATGGATATCCAGTTTTCCCAGCACCATTTATTGAAGAGAGTGTCCTTTCTCCAATGTAGGTTTTTGACAACTTTGTTGAAAATAAGTTTACTGTAGATGTATGGATTTGTTTCTGGGTTCTCTATTCTGTTTCATTGGTTTATGTGTCTGTTTTTATGCCAGTATCATGCTCTTTTGGTTACTGCAGCTTTGTAGTATAATTTGAAGTCAGGTAATGTGATTCTTCAGTTTTGTTCTTTTTGCTCAAGATAGTTTTGGCTGTTCTGGGCCTTTTGTGGTTCCATATAAATTTTAGGATTTTTTTTCCATTTCTGTGAAGAATGTAATTGGTATTTTGATAGGGTTTACATTGAATCTGTAGATTGCTTTAGGTAGTATAGATATTTTAACATATTGAGTCTCCCAATCCATGAACATGGAATATCTTTCCATTTTTTTGTGTCCTCTTCAATTTCTTTCATCAGTGTTTTATAGTTATCATCGTAGAGATCTTTTACTTCTTGGTTAAGAAGGTATTTAATATTAGGTATTTAAATTTAATATTATTTGTAAAATAAATGATTGTACGTTGATTTTCTTTTTATTTTCTTTCTTTTTGTTTTTTGAGATGGAGCCTCACTTTGTCACCTAGGCTGGAGTGCAGTGGTGCCATCTTGGTTCACTGCAGCCTCCACCTCCTGGGTTCAAGTGATTCTCCTGCCTCAGCCTCCCTAGTAGCTGAGACTACAGGTATGTGCCACCACACCTCGCTAATTTTTGTATTTTTAGCAGAGATGGGGTTTCACCATATTGGCCACACTGGTCTTGAACTCCTGACCTCAAGTGATCAGCCCACTTTGGCCTCCCAAAGTGCTGGGATTACAGCTGTGAGCCACCATGCCTGGCCTGTATGTTGACTTTGTATCCTCCAACTTTACTGAATTTGTTTATCAGTTCTAATAGTTTTTTGGTGGAGTCCTTAGGTTTTTTTCAAATATAAGATCATATCATCTGCAAATAAGGATAATTTGACTTCTTCCTTTCCAGTTTGGATGCTCTTTATTTCTTTCTCTTGTCTGATTACTCTAGCTAGGACTTCCAGTACTGTTTTGAATAATAGTGGTGGAAGTGGGCATCTTTGTCATGTTCCAGATCTTTGAGAAAAGGCTTTAGGTTTTCCCCTAATTCACTATGATACTAGCTGTGGGTTTGTCATATAGCTTTTACTGTGTTGAGGTATGTTCCTTCTATGTCCAGTTTTTGGGGGGGGTTTTATCATGAAGGGATGTTGAATTTTATCAACTGTTTTTTCAGCATCAGTTGAAATGATCATATGGTTTTTGCCCTTCATTCTGTTGATATGATATATCACATTGATTGATTTGTGTATGTTCAACCATCCTTGCATCTCTGGGATAAATCCCACTTGGTCATGATGAATGATTTTTTTTTTCCATTGGAAAGATATTGCAGATGAGATGAATAATCACTTTAATGTGTTGTTGAATTCAGTGTGCTAGTATGTTGCTGAGGATTTTTGCATCAGGGATATTTGCCTGTAGTTTTTTTTTTTTTATGTGTCTGTCTAGTTTTGGCATCAAGGTAATACTGGCCACGTAGATGAGTTTGAAAATACTCCCTCCTCCTCTATTTTTCAGAATAGTTTGAGTAGGGTTGGTGTTTTGGGTCTTTCTTGCATTGCTATAAAGAAATAACTGAGGCTGGGCATGGTGGCTCATGCCTGTAATCCCAGCAGTTTGGGAGGCTGAGGAAGGCAGATCACTTGAGGCCAGGAGTTTGAGACCAGCCTGGCTAACATGGTGAAACCCTATCTCTACTAAAAATATGAAAATTAGCTGGGTGTGGTGGTACATGCCTGTTCTTTCAGCTACTCAGGAAGCTGAGGCATGAGAATTGCTTGAACCCAGGGGGTGGAGGTTGCAGTGAGCTGAGATTATTGCACCACTGCCCTCCAGCCTGGGTGACAGAGTGAGACCCTGTCTCAAAAAAAAAAAAAAAAAAAAAAGAGAAATACCTGAGTCTGGGAAATTTACAAAGAAAAGAGTTTTAATTGGCTTATGGTTCTGTAGGCTGTACAAACATAGTGCTGGCATCTGCTCAGCTACTGGGGAGACCTCAGGGAGCTTTTACTCATCGCAGAAGGGTGCCAGGCACTTCACATGGTAAGATTTGGAGCAAGAGGTGGTGGGGGGAGGTGTCACATTTTACCAACAACCAGATCTCTCAAGAATGCACTCACTATTGTGAGGACAGCACCAAGCCATGAGGGATCTGCCCCCATGATCCAAACACCTATCACCAGGCCCCACCTCCAATACTAGGGATTACAATTCAACATGAGATTTGGGTAGGGACAAATATTGAAACTATATCAGTTGGTATTAGTTCTTCTTCATATGTTTAGTAACATTTAGCAGTGAAGACATAGAGTCCTGGGCTTTCATTTGTTACTTGTTATTGGTCTGTTCTGGTTTTGGATTTCTTCAAGGTTCGATCTTGGCAGGTTGTATGTGTCTAGGAATGTATCCATTTCTTCTAGGTTTTCCAATTTATTGGCATGTAGTTGCTCATAGTAGCCTCTAATGATCGTTTGAATTTCTTTGATATTGGTTGTAATGTTTCCTTTTTCATCTCTGATTTTATTTATATGAGTCTTCTCTCCTTTTTTTCTTAGCGAGTCTGGCTAAGGAATTGTTGATTTTTGTCTTTAAAAAAACAACTTTTCTTTTTGTTGATCTTTTCTATTGTTTCCTTCATTTCAATTTCATTTATTTTTGCTCTCATCTTTATTATTTCTTTCCTTCTAATAATTTTGGGTTTGGCTTGCTCTTGCTTTTCTAGTTCTTTGAAATGCATCATTATGTTGTTTATTTGAAGTTTTTCTGTTTTTCTTTTTTAATGTAGGTGCTTATGGCTATAAACTTTCTTCTTATTACTGCCTTCTCTGTATCCCATAGGTTTTGGTATATTGTGTTTCCATTATCATTTGTTTCCAGAATTTAAAAAATTTCCTTCTTAATTTCTTTGTTGACCCACAGTCACTTAGGAGCATATTTTAATTTCCATATATTTGTATGGTTTCAAACATTCCTCTTGTTATTGATTTCTAGTTTTTTTCCATTGTGGTCAGAGAAGATATTTGATATAATTCCAATTTTTTAAGACTTATTTTGTGGTCTAACATATGGTCTATCCTTGAGAATGATCCATGTGCTGAGGAGAAGAATGGGTATTCTGTAGCCATTGGATAAAATGTTCTGTAAATATCTATTAGATCTGGCCAGGCACGGTGGCTCACGCCTGTAACTCCAGCACTTTGGGAGGCCAAGGCAGGTGGATCACAAGGTCAGGAGATCAAGACCATCCTGACTAACGTGGAGAAACCCCATCTGTACTAAAAATACAAAAAAATTAGCTGGGCATGGTGGTGAGCACCCGTAGTCCCAGCTACTCAGGAGGCTGAGGCAGGAGAATGGTGTGAACCTGGGAGGTGGAGCTTGCAGTAAGCTGAGATCACACCACTGCACTCCAGCCTGGGCAACAGAGCAAGACTGCATCTCAAAAAAGAAAAAATCTATTAGAGCCATTTGATCTATAGTGCAGATTAAGTCTGATGTTTCTTTGTTGATTTTCAGTCTGGATGATCTGTCCAATGCTGAAAGTGGGGTGTTGAAGTCTCCAGCTATTATTGTATTGGGGTCTATCTCTCTCTTTAGCTCTAATAATATTTACTTTATATAGCTGGGTGCTCCAGTTGGAATGCATATATTTTTACAATTGTTATATACTCTGGCCGAATTAACCTCTTTTCATTATATAATGACCTTCTTTGTCTCTTTTTATAGTTTTTGTCTTGAAATCTATTTTGTCTGATGTAAGCATAGCTATTCATGATCCTTTTTGGTTTCCATTGGAATGGAATATATTTTTCTATCCCTTTGTTTTAGTCTATGTGTGTCTTTATGGGTGAAGTGTGCTCCTTGTAGGCAACAAATCACCGGGTCTTGCTTTTTTTTTTTTTTTTTTTTTTTTTTTTTAAATCCATTCAGCCACTCTATGTCTTTTGAATGGAGAGTTTAGTCCATTTAGATTCAATGTTATTATTGATAAGTAAGGACTTACTCTTGCCATTTTGTTATTTGTTTTCTAGTTGTTTTGTGGTCCTCTGTTCCTTCCTTCTTTTGTTCCTGTCTTCCTTTCTGTGAAGGTGATTTTCTCTGGTAGTATTTAAAAATTTCTTGCTTTTTATTTTTTGTGTATCTGTTGTATGTTGTTTTGGGGACTTTTTTTGAGATGGGGATCTCGCTTTGTCACCCAGGCTGGAGTGCAGTGGTGCGATCTTGGCTCACTGCAACCTCTGCCTTTCAGGCTCAAGTGATCTGCCCATCTCAGCCTCCCAAGTAGTTGGGACCACAGGTGAGTGCCACTATGTCTGGCTAATTTTTTTTTTTTTTTTTTGGTAGAGACAAGCACTTTTGTAGAGACAGCACTTTCACCACCGTGTTTTCCAGGCTGGTTTCAAACTCCTGAGCTCAAGCCAAAGGCCTGCTTTGGCCTCCCAAAGTGCTAGGATTACAAGTGGGAGCCACCACTCCTGGCCCCTGTTGTATGCTTTTTTATTTCAGGTTACCATAAGGCTTGTATTTAATATTTTATAACCCATTATTTATTTTATTATTTTTGGCATATTCACAACATAACCCATTATTTTAAACCAATGAAAACTTACCACTGATTACATAAATAAAGAAGCAAAGAAAAAATTAATAAAAACTCTACATTTTAACTTTGTCCTCCTGCTTTTTAATTCTTTGTTGTTTGTGTTTGTGTCATATTGTACTGTCTATGTCTTGAAAAGTTGTTATAGTTATTAGTTTTGACTGGTTCAGCTTTTGGTCTTTCCACTCAAGATATGAGTAGTTTACATACCATGATTACAGTGTTACAATATTCTGTTTTTTTTCTGTGTACTTCCAATTACCAGTGAGTTTTACACCTTCAAATTATTTTTCATTGCTCATTAATGTCCTTTTCTTTCTGATTAAAGAACTCCCTTCAGCATTTCTTGTAGGACAGGTCTGGTGTTGATGAAATCCCTCAACTTTTGTTTGTCTAGGAAAGTCTTTATTTCTCCTTCATATTTTCAAGGATATTTATTTCTCCTTCATATTTCAAGGATATTTCCACTGGAAAGTCTGCTGCCAGACATATCAGAGCTCCATGGTATGTTATTTGTTTATTTTCTGTTGCTGCTTTTAGGATCCTTTCTGTATTCTTGACCTTGGGAGTTTGTTTATTAAATGTTTTGAGGTCATCTTCTTTGGGTTGAATTTGTTTGGTGTTCTATAACCTTCATATACTTGAATATTGATATCTTTCCCTAGGTTTGGGAAGGTCTTTGTTACTATCACTTTGAATAAACTTTCTACCCCATCTCTCTCTCTACCTCCTCTTTAAGGCCAATAACTCTTTTTTTTTTCTTTTTGAGACAGAGTCTCACTTTGTTGTCCAGGCTGGAGTGCAGTGCTGTGATCTTGGTTCACTACAGCCTCCACTTCCCAGGTTCAAGCAATTCTCCTGCCTCAGCCTCCAGAGTAGCCGGGATTAAAGGCGCCTGCTGCCACGTCCAGCTAATTTTTGTATTTTAGTTGAGACGGGGTTTCACGATGTTGGCGAGGCTGCTCTCGAACTCCTGACCTCATGATCTGCCCACCTTGGCCTCCCAAAGTGCTGGGATTACAGGAGTGAGCCACTGCACCTGGCTGCAGCCAGTAACTCTTAAATTTGCCGTTTTGAGGCTATTTTCTAGATCTTGTAGGCATGCTTCATTCTTTTTTATTCTTTTTTCTTTTGTCTCTTCTGATTATATTTTCAAATTGCCTGTCTTCAAGCTCACTAATTCTTTCTTCCACTTGATCAGTTCTACTGATAAGAGAGTCTGATGCACCCTTATGTATGTCAGTATCATTTTTCAACTCCATAATTTTTGCTTGATTCTTTTTAGTTATTTTAATCTCTTTGTTAAAGTTATATGATAGGATTCTGAATTCCTTCTCTGTGTTAGCTTTAATTTCTTTGAGTTTCCTCAAAACATTGTTTTTTTTTTTTTTTTTTTTTAGACAGAGTCTTGCTCAGTTGCCCAGGCTGGAGTACAGTGGTATGATCTTGGCTCACTGAATCTCCGCCTCCCAAGTTTAAGCAATTCTCCTGCCTCAGCCTCCTGAGTAGCTGGGATTACAAGCATATGCCACCACGCCCAGCTATTTTTGTATTTTTAGTAGAGATAGGGTTTCACCATGTTGGCCAAGCTGGTCTTGAACTCCTGAGCTCAAGTGATCTACCCACCTTGGCCTCCCAGAATGTTGGGATTACAGGTGTGAGCCACCGTGCCTGACCAAAACAGCTATTTTGAATTCTGTTTCAAAGGTCACATATCTCTGTTTCTCTGGGATTGGCCTCTGGTGCCTTATTCATTTGATGAGGTCATGTTTTCCTGGCTGGTCCTGATGCTTGTGGATGTTCATCAGTGTCTGAGTTAAATATTTATTATAGTCTTTGCAGTCTGGGCTGTTTGTATCTGTCCTTCTTGGGAAGGCTTTCCAGGAATTCAAAGGAACTTGGGTGTTGTGATCTAAGTTTTTGGTCACTGCAGCTGTATCTGCATTAGAGGGCACACCAAGCACAGAAATGCTGTGGCTCTTTCACAGTCTGTTGTATCTTTTTTGATTTGAGGTTACCATGAGGTTTGCAGATAATATTTTATCACTCATTATTTTAAACTGCTGACAACTTAACACTGATTACTCATAGAGGCACTGCCATGGTGGTCTTGGATAAGATCTGGAAGAATTCTCTGGATTACCAGGCAGAGACTCTTATTGTCTTCCCTTATTTTCCCCCAGGCAAAGTCTGTCTTTCTGTGATCAGCTGCCTGGAGTTGGGGGAGAAGTGACACAAACACCCCTGTGACCACCACTGGGACTGTGCAGGGTCAGACGTGAAGCCAGCATAGTACTGGGTCTTGCCCAAGGCCTATGGTAACCACCGCCTGGCTACTACCTATGTTCACTCAAGGCCCTATGGCTCTAAAATCAGCAGGTGGCAAAGCCAGCCAAGCTTATGTCCCTCTCTTTAGGGTGGCAAGTTTCCCCCAGCCTGGGGTGAATCCAGAGATGCCTTCCAGGAACTGGGGCCTAGTCAGAAACCTTAGGAATCTACCTGGTACTCTATTGCACTGAGGCTGAACTGGCACCCAAGCCACAAGACAAAGTCCTTCCCACTTTTCCCTCCCCTTTCCACAAGCTGAGGAGTCTCTTGCCATGGCCACTTCCACCCCAGGCCTGTGGTGGGTACTGTCTGGCTACTGCTGATGTATACTCAAGGCCCAAGGGCTCTGCAGTAAGCTTGTGGTGAACGCTGCCCAGCCTGGGACTCACCCTTCAGGGAAGCAGGCTCCCCTCTGGCCCAGAGCAGGTCCAGGAATGCTATCTAAGAGCCAAAGCCTGGAATCAGGGACCTTAAGAGGCCACTTGGTATTCTAACCCCACAGTGGCCAAGTCCCCTTTACTCTTTCCACTTCTTTTCTCAAGCAGAAGGAATTTCTCCCCATAGCCACCACAGCTGTAATGTGCTGGGTCACACCTTAAGCCTGCACGTCTCTGAGTCTCACCCAAAGCCCATGATGAGTACTACCTGGCTACTTCTGATTATTCAGGGCCAAAGGGCTCTTTAGTCAGCTGGTGAGGAATCCTGCCAGGACTGGTCCTTCCCTTCAAGGCAGCAGGTTCCCTTCTGGCCCAGGGTGTGGCTAGAAATGTCAGCTTGGAGCTATGGCCTGGAATGTGGGCCTCAGGACTTTGCCTGGTGCCCTATCCTACTGCAGCTGAGCTGGTATCCAATGCAAGACAAACTCATCTTTGTTCTTCCCTCTCCTCTTCTCAAGCAGAGGAAAGAAGTCTCTCTCTGAGCTTTGAGCTGCCCTGCCTGGGGTTGGGAGAGGGGTGGTGCAAGCAATCCCTTGGCCATCCCAGCTAGTGTCTCACTAGGTTGTGTGCCCCCCACATTCACTGGCTCTGAGCCCAGCACAGCACCAGGACTTACCCAGGAATTGCCATCCTTGTGGCCTAGACTGCCTTTCAAGTTTATGTAGAACCTCAGAGCACTTCAGCCCATGGTGGGGAGGCTTACTGGAACTCAGGTTCCCACTGCTGGGATGGGTGATTTGCCTCTAGCTAGGGCTGGTCTAAATGATCCCTCCATGGGACCTGGGTGAGTTCTTCCCAGTGTTGCTTTGTGCTATGACTGGGCAGCACTGAGTTCCAATGCAAAGTCTGAAAATCACTGCACTCTTCCTCTCCCAGAAGCACACATTCTCTCTCCATGCCAGGTGGCCGCTGCCGGCGAATGGGGGAGAGATAGCATTTAGCAATTCAAGACTGTCTTACCCTCTTCAGTTACTCTTTCAGTGATACGAAGTTAAAACCAGGTACTGTGATCACTCACCTGATTTTTGGTTCTTATGAAGGTGCTTTTTTTTGTGTGGATCATTATTCAATTTGGTGTTCCTGCAGGGAGCAGGATTAGTGGAGGCGTCTATTCAGCCATCTTGCTCCACCTCCCCTAGCTATGTCCTTTTAAATATTTATAATCGACATACAATATATTACACTTAAAGTATACAATAAGTTCTAAAATATAACTGAAATCATCATCGAACTCTAGATAATTAACATATCCATCAACCCTAAAGTTTCCTCATGTTTAGATGATCTCCTTTCCCTCTAGAAACCACTCATCTACTTTCTGTCATATAGATTATAGTTTGCCTTTTCTGGAGTTTTATATAAACAGAATCATATAGTATATGTTCTTTTCTGTCTGACTTCTTTTATTTACCATGATTATTTCATCCATGTTACATGTATCAACAGTTTATTCCTTGTTTGTTGATGATAGTATTTCATTGTATGGATATATACTCCAATGGGTTTATTCATTTACCTGTTGATGTATGTTGGATCGTTTCTAGTTTTCAGCTATCACAAATAAAACTGCTATAAACATTAAACATTAATGTCCAAGTCTTTGTATAGACATATGCTTTCATTTTCTCTTGGGCAAATACCTTGGGTGGAGTGGCTGGATATTATGGCCAGTGTATGTTTAACTTTATAAAGAGCTGTCGAAGTGTTTTCCTTTTTCTTTTTTCTTTTTGAGATGAAGTCTTGCTCTGTTGCCCAGGCTGGAGTGCAGTGGTGCAATCTCGGCTCATTGCAACCTCTGCCTCCCAGGTTCAAGCAATTCTCCTGCCTCAGCCTCCTGAGTAGTTGGGGTTACAGATGCCTGCCACCATGCCTAGCTAATTTTTGTATTTTTAGTAGAGACAGGGTTTCACCATGTTGGCCAGGCTGGTCTCAAACTCCTGATCTCAAGTGATCTGCCCGCCTTGACCTCCCAAAGTGCTCAGATTACAGGTGTGAGCCACCACATCCAGCCCCAAATTGTTTATACCATTTTATATTCCTACCAGGATTGTATGAGAGTTCCAGTTCTTCTAAATTCTTGCCAACATTTACTACTTTGAATAAATGTTCATTGTAAAAAAATTTTAAGAGGGTTATATAGGGGAAAAAAAGGCCGCTATTAATCTGTTAATTGCACTACTGGGAGATAAAGCTATTAAACTGTCATATTTGTGGCTGGGCGTGGTAACACATGCTTGTGATCCTAGCACTTTAGGAGGCTGGGGAAGGAGGATCACTTGAGACCAGGAGTTCGAGACCAGCCTGGGCAACACAGCAAGACTCTGTCTCCACAAAAATATTAAAAATTAAAAAAAAAAGAAATTGTCATGTTTGTAGACTTCCCAAATTTGCCATCCTAGGCAAACAGTGCTCTTGTTTTTAAACAAATAGTTGTATACATAATTTTCCCCCTCACTATTCAAAACATGTCATAAATGGTAAGTCCAAGAAAAATACAGGTATTCCCCCCCAAAGGAAACTGTAAAATCGACTTTTTTCTATCTGTACTGTTTTTTATTGGTTTTTAAATTGGTTTTCCAAGTGAGTAAATCAGAATCTATCTGTAATGGATTTTAAATTTAGTGTTTCTCTGTGATGTAGTAAACAAGAAACTAGAGGCAAAAATAGCCCTGTCCCTTGCTAAACTTCTAAGGCACTTTTCTAGTACAACTCAACACTAACATTTCAGGCCTTTAGTGCCTTATATGAGTTTTTAAAAGGGGGAAAAGGGAGGGAGCAAGAGTGTCTTAACTCATACATTTAGGCATAACAATTATTCTCATATTTTAGTTATTGAGAGGGCTGGTAGAAAAACTAGGTAAATAATATTAATAATTATAGCGCTTATTAAACACTACAGAACACTTACTATGTACCAGGCATTGTGGGAGGCTCTCTCTTGTGCATTATCTCATTTCATTAGGTCCATGGAGAGTATTGCATTTTCTTAGTTTAGGCATGGCCTCCACAATAAAGATTATCAAAAGCCTAAAAATATGTAAAAGAAACCTAGAAGTTATTTGTTGTGCTCCTTGGGGAAGCTAGGCAAATCCTTTCAACTGAAAACCATGGTGACTTCCAAGATCTCTGCCCCTCCCCATCGCCATGGTCCACTTCCTCTTCTCACTGTTCCTCTTAGAAAAGATCTGTGGACTCCACCACCACGAAATGGCGGCACCTTATTTATGGTCACTTTAGAGGGTAGGTTTTCTTAATGGGTCTGCCTGTCATGTTTAACGTCCTTGGCTGGGTCCAAGGCAGATGCAGTCCAAACTCTCACTAAAATTGCCGAGCCCTTTGTCTTCCAGTGTCTAAAATATTAATGTCAATGGAATCAGGCCAGAGTTTGAATTCTAGTCTCTTAGCCTTTGTTTCCCCTGTCCATAAAATGAATGGGGGTAATTCTTTCCTCCTACAGTTTATTTATATATTCACTAATTCATTCATTCATCCATCCATTCGTTCATTCGGTTTACTGAGTACCTACTATGTGCCAGCCCCTGTTCTAGGGTGGAAACTAAGAGAATGATGTACCTAGAGGGCGCTGGAAGCTCTAAAGCCCTAGCAGTTACTGCTTTTACTATTAGTGGTCGTTTTTTTCTCCCCCCCGCCCCCCGACAAATCAACAGAACAAAGAAAATTACCTAAACAGCAAGGACATAGGGAGGAACTTCTTGGCACAGAACTTTCCAAACACTTTTTCCTGAAGGGATACAAGAAGCAAGAAAGGTACTCTTTCACTAGGACCTTCTCTGAGCTGTCCTCAGGATGCTTTTGGGACTATTTTTCTTACCCAGAGAATGGAGAAACCCTGCAGGGAATTCCCAAGCTGTAGTTATAAACAGAAGTTCTCCTTCTGCTAGGTAGCATTCAAAGATCTTAATCTTCTGGGTTTCCGTTTTCTCGAATGAAAAATGCAGGTCCGAGCAGTTAACTGGCGGGGGCACCATTAGCAAGTCACTTAGCATCTCTGGGGCCAGTCTGCAAAGCGAGGGGGCAGCCTTAATGTGCCTCCAGCCTGAAGTCCTAGAATGAGCGCCCGGTGTCCCAAGCTGGGGCGCGCACCCCAGATCGGAGGGCGCCGATGTACAGACAGCAAACTCACCCAGTCTAGTGCATGCCTTCTTAAACATCACGAGACTCTAAGAAAAGGAAACTGAAAACGGGAAAGTCCCTCTCTCTAACCTGGCACTGCGTCGCTGGCTTGGAGACAGGTGACGGTCCCTGCGGGCCTTGTCCTGATTGGCTGGGCACGCGTTTAATATAAGTGGAGGCGTCGCGCTGGCGGGCATTCCTGAAGCTGACAGCATTCGGGCCGAGATGTCTCGCTCCGTGGCCTTAGCTGTGCTCGCGCTACTCTCTCTTTCTGGCCTGGAGGCTATCCAGCGTGAGTCTCTCCTACCCTCCCGCTCTGGTCCTTCCTCTCCCGCTCTGCACCCTCTGTGGCCCTCGCTGTGCTCTCTCGCTCCGTGACTTCCCTTCTCCAAGTTCTCCTTGGTGGCCCGCCGTGGGGCTAGTCCAGGGCTGGATCTCGGGGAAGCGGCGGGGTGGCCTGGGAGTGGGGAAGGGGGTGCGCACCCGGGACGCGCGCTACTTGCCCCTTTCGGCGGGGAGCAGGGGAGACCTTTGGCCTACGGCGACGGGAGGGTCGGGACAAAGTTTAGGGCGTCGATAAGCGTCAGAGCGCCGAGGTTGGGGGAGGGTTTCTCTTCCGCTCTTTCGCGGGGCCTCTGGCTCCCCCAGCGCAGCTGGAGTGGGGGACGGGTAGGCTCGTCCCAAAGGCGCGGCGCTGAGGTTTGTGAACGCGTGGAGGGGCGCTTGGGGTCTGGGGGAGGCGTCGCCCGGGTAAGCCTGTCTGCTGCGGCTCTGCTTCCCTTAGACTGGAGAGCTGTGGACTTCATCTAGGCGCCCGCTAAGTTCGCATGTCCTAGCACCTCTGGGTCTATGTGGGGCCACACCGTGGGGAGGAAACAGCACGCGACGTTTGTAGAATGCTTGGCTGTGATACAAAGCGGTTTCGAATAATTAACTTATTTGTTCCCATCACATGTCACTTTTAAAAAATTATAAGAACTACCCGTTATTGACATCTTTCTGTGTGCCAAGGACTTTATGTGCTTTGCGTCATTTAATTTTGAAAACAGTTATCTTCCGCCATAGATAACTACTATGGTTATCTTCTGCCTCTCACAGATGAAGAAACTAAGGCACCGAGATTTTAAGAAACTTAATTACACAGGGGATAAATGGCAGCAATCGAGATTGAAGTCAAGCCTAACCAGGGCTTTTGCGGGAGCGCATGCCTTTTGGCTGTAATTCGTGCATTTTTTTTTAAGAAAAACGCCTGCCTTCTGCGTGAGATTCTCCAGAGCAAACTGGGCGGCATGGGCCCTGTGGTCTTTTCGTACAGAGGGCTTCCTCTTTGGCTCTTTGCCTGGTTGTTTCCAAGATGTACTGTGCCTCTTACTTTCGGTTTTGAAAACATGAGGGGGTTGGGCGTGGTAGCTTACGCCTGTAATCCCAGCACTTAGGGAGGCCGAGGCGGGAGGATGGCTTGAGGTCCGTAGTTGAGACCAGCCTGGCCAACATGGTGAAGCCTGGTCTCTACAAAAAATAATAACAAAAATTAGCCGGGTGTGGTGGCTCGTGCCTGTGGTCCCAGCTGCTCCGGTGGCTGAGGCGGGAGGATCTCTTGAGCTTAGGCTTTTGAGCTATCATGGCGCCAGTGCACTCCAGCGTGGGCAACAGAGCGAGACCCTGTCTCTCAAAAAAGAAAAAAAAAAAAGAAAGAGAAAAGAAAAGAAAGAAAGAAGTGAAGGTTTGTCAGTCAGGGGAGTTGTAAAACCATTAATAAAGATAATCCAAGATGGTTACCAAGACTGTTGAGGACGCCAGAGATCTTGAGCACTTTCTAAGTACCTGGCAATACACTAAGCGCGCTCACCTTTTCCTCTGGCAAAACATGATCGAAAGCAGAATGTTTTGATCATGAGAAAATTGCATTTAATTTGAATACAATTTATTTACAACATAAAGGATAATGTATATATCACCACCATTACTGGTATTTGCTGGTTATGTTAGATGTCATTTTAAAAAATAACAATCTGATATTTAAAAAAAAATCTTATTTTGAAAATTTCCAAAGTAATACATGCCATGCATAGACCATTTCTGGAAGATACCACAAGAAACATGTAATGATGATTGCCTCTGAAGGTCTATTTTCCTCGTCTGACCTGTGTGTGGGTTTTGTTTTTGTTTTACTGTGGGCATAAATTAATTTTTCAGTTAAGTTTTGGAAGCTTAAATAACTCTCCAAAAGTCATAAAGCCAGTAACTGGTTGAGCCCAAATTCAAACCCAGCCTGTCTGATACTTGTCCTCTTCTTAGAAAAGATTACAGTGATGCTCTCACAAAATCTTGCCGCCTTCCCTCAAACAGAGAGTTCCAGGCAGGATGAATCTGTGCTCTGATCCCTGAGGCATTTAATATGTTCTTATTATTAGAAGCTCAGATGCAAAGAGCTCTCTTAGCTTTTAATGTTATGAAAAAAATCAGGTCTTCATTAGATTCCCCAATCCACCTCTTGATGGGGCTAGTAGCCTTTCCTTAATGATAGGGTGTTTCTAGAGAGATATATCTGGTCAAGGTGGCCTGGTACTCCTCCTTCTCCCCACAGCCTCCCAGACAAGGAGGAGTAGCTGCCTTTTAGTGATCATGTACCCTGAATATAAGTGTATTTAAAAGAATTTTATACACATATATTTAGTGTCAATCTGTATATTTAGTAGCACTAACACTTCTCTTCATTTTCAATGAAAAATATAGAGTTTATAATATTTTCTTCCCACTTCCCCATGGATGGTCTAGTCATGCCTCTCATTTTGGAAAGTACTGTTTCTGAAACATTAGGCAATATATTCCCAACCTGGCTAGTTTACAGCAATCACCTGTGGATGCTAATTAAAACGCAAATCCCACTGTCACATGCATTACTCCATTTGATCATAATGGAAAGTATGTTCTGTCCCATTTGCCATAGTCCTCACCTATCCCTGTTGTATTTTATCGGGTCCAACTCAACCATTTAAGGTATTTGCCAGCTCTTGTATGCATTTAGGTTTTGTTTCTTTGTTTTTTAGCTCATGAAATTAGGTACAAAGTCAGAGAGGGGTCTGGCATATAAACCCTCAGCAGAAATAAAGAGGTTTTGTTGTTTGGTAAGAACATACCTTGGGTTGGCTGGGCACGGTGGCTCGTGCCTGTAATCCCAACACTTTGGGAGGCCAAGGCAGGCTGATCACTTGAAGTTGGGAGTTCAAGACCAGCCTGGCCAACATGGTGAAATCCCGTCTCTACTGAAAATACAAAAATTAACCAGGCATGGTGGTGTGTGCCTGTAGTCCCAGGAATCACTTGAACCCAGGAGGCGGAGGTTGCAGTGAGCTGAGATCTCACCACTGCACACTGCACTCCAGCCTGGGCAATGGAATGAGATTCCATCCCAAAAAATAAAAAAATAAAAAAATAAAGAACATACCTTGGGTTGATCCACTTAGGAACCTCAGATAATAACATCTGCCACGTATAGAGCAATTGCTATGTCCCAGGCACTCTACTAGACACTTCATACAGTTTAGAAAATCAGATGGGTGTAGATCAAGGCAGGAGCAGGAACCAAAAAGAAAGGCATAAACATAAGAAAAAAAATGGAAGGGGTGGAAACAGAGTACAATAACATGAGTAATTTGATGGGGGCTATTATGAACTGAGAAATGAACTTTGAAAAGTATCTTGGGGCCAAATCATGTAGACTCTTGAGTGATGTGTTAAGGAATGCTATGAGTGCTGAGAGGGCATCAGAAGTCCTTGAGAGCCTCCAGAGAAAGGCTCTTAAAAATGCAGCGCAATCTCCAGTGACAGAAGATACTGCTAGAAATCTGCTAGAAAAAAAACAAAAAAGGCATGTATAGAGGAATTATGAGGGAAAGATACCAAGTCACGGTTTATTCTTCAAAATGGAGGTGGCTTGTTGGGAAGGTGGAAGCTCATTTGGCCAGAGTGGAAATGGAATTGGGAGAAATCGATGACCAAATGTAAACACTTGGTGCCTGATATAGCTTGACACCAAGTTAGCCCCAAGTGAAATACCCTGGCAATATTAATGTGTCTTTTCCCGATATTCCTCAGGTACTCCAAAGATTCAGGTTTACTCACGTCATCCAGCAGAGAATGGAAAGTCAAATTTCCTGAATTGCTATGTGTCTGGGTTTCATCCATCCGACATTGAAGTTGACTTACTGAAGAATGGAGAGAGAATTGAAAAAGTGGAGCATTCAGACTTGTCTTTCAGCAAGGACTGGTCTTTCTATCTCTTGTACTACACTGAATTCACCCCCACTGAAAAAGATGAGTATGCCTGCCGTGTGAACCATGTGACTTTGTCACAGCCCAAGATAGTTAAGTGGGGTAAGTCTTACATTCTTTTGTAAGCTGCTGAAAGTTGTGTATGAGTAGTCATATCATAAAGCTGCTTTGATATAAAAAAGGTCTATGGCCATACTACCCTGAATGAGTCCCATCCCATCTGATATAAACAATCTGCATATTGGGATTGTCAGGGAATGTTCTTAAAGATCAGATTAGTGGCACCTGCTGAGATACTGATGCACAGCATGGTTTCTGAACCAGTAGTTTCCCTGCAGTTGAGCAGGGAGCAGCAGCAGCACTTGCACAAATACATATACACTCTTAACACTTCTTACCTACTGGCTTCCTCTAGCTTTTGTGGCAGCTTCAGGTATATTTAGCACTGAACGAACATCTCAAGAAGGTATAGGCCTTTGTTTGTAAGTCCTGCTGTCCTAGCATCCTATAATCCTGGACTTCTCCAGTACTTTCTGGCTGGATTGGTATCTGAGGCTAGTAGGAAGGGCTTGTTCCTGCTGGGTAGCTCTAAACAATGTATTCATGGGTAGGAACAGCAGCCTATTCTGCCAGCCTCATTTCTAACCATTTTAGACATTTGTTAGTACATGGTATTTTAAAAGTAAAACTTAATGTCTTCCTTTTTTTTCTCCACTGTCTTTTTCATAGATCGAGACATGTAAGCAGCATCATGGAGGTAAGTTTTTGACCTTGAGAAAATGTTTTTGTTTCACTGTCCTGAGGACTATTTATAGACAGCTCTAACATGATAACCCTCACTATGTGGAGAACATTGACAGAGTAACATTTTAGCAGGGAAAGAAGAATCCTACAGGGTCATGTTCCCTTCTCCTGTGGAGTGGCATGAAGAAGGTGTATGGCCCCAGGTATGGCCATATTACTGACCCTCTACAGAGAGGGCAAAGGAACTGCCAGTATGGTATTGCAGGATAAAGGCAGGTGGTTACCCACATTACCTGCAAGGCTTTGATCTTTCTTCTGCCATTTCCACATTGGACATCTCTGCTGAGGAGAGAAAATGAACCACTCTTTTCCTTTGTATAATGTTGTTTTATTCTTCAGACAGAAGAGAGGAGTTATACAGCTCTGCAGACATCCCATTCCTGTATGGGGACTGTGTTTGCCTCTTAGAGGTTCCCAGGCCACTAGAGGAGATAAAGGGAAACAGATTGTTATAACTTGATATAATGATACTATAATAGATGTAACTACAAGGAGCTCCAGAAGCAAGAGAGAGGGAGGAACTTGGACTTCTCTGCATCTTTAGTTGGAGTCCAAAGGCTTTTCAATGAAATTCTACTGCCCAGGGTACATTGATGCTGAAACCCCATTCAAATCTCCTGTTATATTCTAGAACAGGGAATTGATTTGGGAGAGCATCAGGAAGGTGGATGATCTGCCCAGTCACACTGTTAGTAAATTGTAGAGCCAGGACCTGAACTCTAATATAGTCATGTGTTACTTAATGACGGGGACATGTTCTGAGAAATGCTTACACAAACCTAGGTGTTGTAGCCTACTACACGCATAGGCTACATGGTATAGCCTATTGCTCCTAGACTACAAACCTGTACAGCCTGTTACTGTACTGAATACTGTGGGCAGTTGTAACACAATGGTAAGTATTTGTGTATCTAAACATAGAAAAGTTGCAGTAAAAATATGCTATTTTAATCTTATGAGACCACTGTCATATATACAGTCCATCATTGACCAAAACATCATATCAGCATTTTTTCTTCTAAGATTTTGGGAGCACCAAAGGGATACACTAACAGGATATACTCTTTATAATGGGTTTGGAGAACTGTCTGCAGCTACTTCTTTTAAAAAGGTGATCTACACAGTAGAAATTAGACAAGTTTGGTAATGAGATCTGCAATCCAAATAAAATAAATTCATTGCTAACCTTTTTCTTTTCTTTTCAGGTTTGAAGATGCCGCATTTGGATTGGATGAATTCCAAATTCTGCTTGCTTGCTTTTTAATATTGATATGCTTATACACTTACACTTTATGCACAAAATGTAGGGTTATAATAATGTTAACATGGACATGATCTTCTTTATAATTCTACTTTGAGTGCTGTCTCCATGTTTGATGTATCTGAGCAGGTTGCTCCACAGGTAGCTCTAGCAGGGCTGGCAACTTAGAGGTGGGGAGCAGAGAATTCTCTTATCCAACATCAACATCTTGGTCAGATTTGAACTCTTCAATCTCTTGCACTCAAAGCTTGTTAAGATAGTTAAGCGTGCATAAGTTAACTTCCAATTTACATACTCTGCTTAGAATTTGGGGGAAAATTTAGAAATATAATTGACAGGATTATTGGAAATTTGTTATAATGAATGAAACATTTTGTCATATAAGATTCATATTTACTTCTTATACATTTGATAAAGTAAGGCATGGTTGTGGTTAATCTGGTTTATTTTTGTTCCACAAGTTAAATAAATCATAAAACTTGATGTGTTATCTCTTATATCTCACTCCCACTATTACCCCTTTATTTTCAAACAGGGAAACAGTCTTCAAGTTCCACTTGGTAAAAAATGTGAACCCCTTGTATATAGAGTTTGGCTCACAGTGTAAAGGGCCTCAGTGATTCACATTTTCCAGATTAGGAATCTGATGCTCAAAGAAGTTAAATGGCATAGTTGGGGTGACACAGCTGTCTAGTGGGAGGCCAGCCTTCTATATTTTAGCCAGCGTTCTTTCCTGCGGGCCAGGTCATGAGGAGTATGCAGACTCTAAGAGGGAGCAAAAGTATCTGAAGGATTTAATATTTTAGCAAGGAATAGATATACAGTCATCCCTTGGTCTCCCTGGGGGATTGGTTTCAGGACCCCTTCTTGGACACCAAATCTATGGATATTTAAGTCCCTTCTATAAAATGGTATAGTATTTGCATATAACCTATCCACATCCTCCTGTATACTTTAAATCATTTCTAGATTACTTGTAATACCTAATACAATGTAAATGCTATGCAAATAGTTGTTATTGTTTAAGGAATAATGACAAGAAAAAAAAGTCTGTACATGCTCAGTAAAGACACAACCATCCCTTTTTTTCCCCAGTGTTTTTGATCCATGGTTTGCTGAATCCACAGATGTGGAGCCCCTGGATACGGAAGGCCAGCTGTACTTTGAATGACAAATAACAGATTTAAAATTTTCAAGGCATAGTTTTATACCTGATGGCCAGCTTTGTTTATTTGACCAAGAATCTGAGTTAGCTAGTTCTAGGTACTGACAGGATAAATAAAACACAACACTGCTCCCGATCTTCTCAGTTTAGCAGAGGGACAGATATGCACTCAAATAATTAAAATATATCCTGATAAGAATATAGCATAGGTACGCGCGAAGAACTTGGCAATCGAAATTTTGTTGTTCAGGCTGGGCGAGGTGTCTCATGTCTGTAATCCCAGCACTTTGGGAGGCCATGGTAGGATGATCGCTTGAGCCCAGGAGTCCGAGACCAGCCTGGGCAACATAACAAGACCCTGTCTCAATTCAAAGAATTGAATTAAAAAAAACAAAAAATAATTTTTTTAAAAAAGAAATGTTGTTGTTCAAGGAACAACAACAAAAATCTAGGGAGGTGTTAGAGAAGCCATTTGCCTGAGCTGAGAGTAAGTTGCTAGTGGTTCTCTTGATTGGTAGGTGGGGCCTGGGTTTCCAGGCATGGTAGCCAGGAAGGACAGCCACATGGCAGGTTTGGGTAATTCCAAACAGTGGAGGAAGGGTGTCTGGGGGAAGACTTGTAGGAACTCAGCTGAAAAAATTGGGGGATGATACTCTGAAAGAAAAACAAAGTTTTAAAATTTCTACTCTTACACTTAACACATAATGCTTCTGTGACCGGATATTTAGGGGTTTTCCCCCCACACTCTGTTAGGAGAAAAATTTTAGACAGATTAAATTTAACAGAGTTTAACTGAGCAAAAATGATTCTCGAACCAGGCAGCTGCCGGAGCCAGAATAGGTTCAAAATGACTCTGGGGGTGCCACATGGTTGGATGACATTTAGGGACAGAAAAAGGAAAGTGATGTGCAGAAAATGGAAGTCAGGGGCAGAAGCAGCCAGATTGGTTGCAGTTCAGCATTTGCCTCATTTAAACAGGGTTTGAAGAGTTGGCCACCTGTGATTGGCTGAGACTCTGTGGTATAAGAGTAAGTTACAGTCTGTTTACACATCCAGTTAGGTTACAGTTCACTATGCAGAGAGAAATCTTTAGCCTGAACTTACACAGGGAGGCAGTTTTATTTATTTATTTAATTTTTTTTTTTTGAGACAAGGTCTCACTCTGTCACCCGGGCTGGAGTTCAGTGGTATGATCATGGCTTATTGCAGCCTCGACTTCCTGGCCTCAAGCAATCCTTCCGCCTCAGGCTCTAGAGTAGCTGGGACTACAGGCACATGTCAGCATGCCTGGCTAATTTTGTTTTTTAATTTTTAGTAGAGATGAACTCCTGGCCTTGCACAATTCTTTCGCCTCAGCCTCCGAAAATGCTGGGATTACAGGTGTGAGCCACTGTGCCCAGCTAAGGCAACTTTAGGCTAAACCTTTTTTTGAGACAGAGTTTCTCTCTTGTTGTCTAGGCTGGAGTGCAGTTGCACCATCTTGGCTCACTGCAACCTCCACCTCCAGGGTTCAAGTGATTCTCGTTCCTCAGCCTCCCGAGTAACTGGGATTACAGGCATGCGCCACCACGCCTGGCTAATTTTGTGTTTTTAGTAGAGATGGTGTTTCACCATGTTGTCCAGGCTGGTCTCAAACTCCTGGCCTCAAGTGATCCTCTGGCCTCAGCTTCCCAGAGTACTGAGATTACAGGCATGAGCCACTGTGCCCTGCCTAGGCTAAACTTAATTTAACAACACCAAACAATCTCCAGCAGACACCAACTGGGTATCCCATAATTCAATTCGATTTTGATTGGATCTACCTGGAGATGGTGTCAGATCCCGCTGGTTGAGGGTTCAGTCCCACAAGACTGCCCTCCACTTCAGATGCCAATCACACATTGTAGGTTGTTACCTCTACTTCTGACTGACCAGCTGGAAACCAGAACTCCCATGACTGCCTCCTTGACTTTGGTTAATTTGCTAGGACAGTTCATATTTACCAATCTATTATAAAAGATTAAAGGCTACAGACGAATAACTAGATGAAAAGATGAATAGGGCTATATGTAGGGGGTTGTGGTGGTGACAGTCCATGCCCTCTCCAGGTGTATGCCACCCTCCCAGCACCTCCACACATTCAGCAAACAGGAAGCTCATCGTTCAAGAGTTTTTATAGAGCTTGATCTCCAGCTCCCCTTCACCTTCCCAGAGGTGGATGGGTGGGGGTGGAAGTTCCAACACACTAATCTTCTCATCACTTGGTCTTTCTGGTGACTAGCACCATCCTGAGGCTATCTAGGGGCCCAAACCTATGAGTATAACCTCATTAGCATATACTCAAGGGTTACCAAAGAGGCTTATTATTAATAATAAAAGACACTCCTATCACTCAAAATTCAAAGGATTTTAGGAACTTCTGACAGGAACTGGGGACAAAGACCAAATGTGTTTCATATTATACCACACTTACCTAGGCCATTCATTAACTCTTCACCTGGCTGCAAACTAAAATTACATGTAGAGTTTGTAAGAACAAAACAAACACACACACAGACACACACACACACACACACACACACACACACACACACAAAACAACAAGGCAGGCACGGTGGCTCACGCCTGTAAGCCCAACACTTTGGAAAGTCAAGGTGAGCAGATTACGAGGAGTTCAAGACCAGCCTGGCTAACATGGTGAAACCCTGTCTCTACTAAGAATACAAAAATTAGCCAGGCATGGTGGCACGTGCCTATAATCCCAGCTACTCAGGAGGCTGAGGCAAGAGAATCGCTTGAACCTCGGAGGCAGAGGTTGCAGTGAGCCGAGATCATGCCATTGCACTCCAGCCTGAGTGACAGAGTGAGACTCCATCTCAAAAACAGCAACAACAACAACAACAACAACAACAACAACAACAACAACAACAACAACTCACCAGCTTCCCAGACTCCCATCCAGGCCAATTAAACCATAATCTCTCGGTATGGAGCCCAGGTATAGTGTTATTTTTTAAAAAACCTCTAGATAGTTTTAATGTACATCCAAGATTGACAGACCCATTGAGTTCAGTCATAAAGAACTCTCTCTCCATTCCATATCATTCAACAGAGCTATTTTGTGAGGGGCTGCTCTGCTGGCTGATATTACAAGGTAATACTATGTCAAAGTCAAATGAAATATAGAGTTGAATCTCTGAAATTAAAATGTTTTATTTGGGAGGAAAGAATTGCAACTCAGGGCATACACACAGACCAGCTGGTCTTTGGCATGTCTGAAGTACAAAAAGGTTTTATAAAATGGGAAAATGTTACTTATCGCTCTGAGAAAATTTCACTGGTGCTAGTAAAGTTTTGAGGAGCTGGCAAGTTTTGATTGGCAAATGATGACAATAAACAGAACTAGTCTCAGAGTTGTAGCAGGTCATTTCAGTAGCCATTAGTTAAACCTGGTTTCAGATGATAGCAGGCAGTTTCAGCTTCCAGGCTTGCAGAAAATCGCATTTTTGGAACAATGTTTTGTGCCCTGAGTGCTTCTCCCTGGCTTCTTGACTCTGTTTTAGTTGAGTAAGACAAAAATGACCCAGTTTGATGACCAACTTTCACAGTTCCTTTGGAGCATGCCTTAGTTTCTCTTTTTAGAAGAGAGCAAGCAAAGAGGAGGAATACAGGAAGCTTAATTAACCTTATTAAATATAATTGTGCAATGCAAATTAAACTGAAAAGTCCCAACATCAGTAATAGAGAAGTAGATCCTACATACTGACATGGAAGCATACCCATACTATATTGCTGAAACAAAAATTAGTTTCTACAAAATATGTGTAAGAAGCCACTTTAAAAAAACAAACTAGGTGGGGCATGGTGGCTCACACCTGTAATCCCAGCATTTTTGGAGGCCAAGGTGGGAGGACTGCGTGAGCTAAGAAGTTTGAGACAAGCCTGGGCAACATAGTGAGACCCAGTCTCTCTCTCTATTTATGTATTTATTTATGTATGTACATATTTATTGATTTATTTATTTGAGACGGAGTCTTGCCCTGTCACCCAGGCTGGAGTGCAATGTCGTGATCTCAGCTCACTGCAACCTCCACCTCCCAGGTTCAAACGATTCTCTGCCTCAGCCTCCTGAGTAGCTGGAATTACAGGCACCCGCCACCATACCCAGCTAATTATTTTTTGTATTTTTAGTAGAGACGGGATTTCATCATGTTGGTCAGGCTGGTCTCAAACTCCTGACCTCATGATCCACCCGCCTCGGCCTCCCAAAGTGCTGGGATTACAGGTGTGAGCCACCGCGCCCGGCCGAGACCCAGTCTCTTTAAAAAAAAATGGCTAACATGGTGAAACCCCATCTCTACTAAAAATACAAAAATTAGCTGGGTGTGGTGGTACATACCTGTAATCCCAGCTACTTGGGAGGCTGAGGCAGGAGAATCACTTGAACCCAGGAGGCGGAGGTTGCAGTGAGCGGAGATTGCATCACCGCACACTAGCCTGGGTGACAGAGCAAGACTTTGTCACACACACACACACAAAAAAGTGGACGCTTGCATCACTTGAGCCTGGGAGGTTGAGGCTGCAGTGAGCAGAGATCAGGACACTACACTCCAGCCTGGGTGATGAAGCAAGTCCCTCAAAAAGGAAAAAAAAAAAAGTAGACCCTTGCACCCCAAATCTGTATTGTTCAAAGGTTAACTGTATCCTCCTTTAAAAAAGGGGTTACTGTTAAATAATAATTTTTATATCTTACTTTTTTTCATGATCCCTAAGGAAAACATGTCACAAATGGATATGTCTTTCTAGTTTTGTCAACAACCACTTTCACGGTATTTTTGGGCTGTTGCTTTTTACTTGTCATTTTTGTGTTGTAAACCCTTGAAGCAAAACTCAAGGTCTTTTCTTTTTTTCTTTTCTTTTCTTTTCTGAGACAGGGTATTACCCTGTCACCCAGGCTTGTGTGCAGAGGCACAATCTTGGCTCACTGCAGCCTCAGCCTCTTGGACTCAAGCAATCCTCCCATCTCAGCCTCCCAAGTAGCTGAGACCACAGGTGTGCACCACCCATTCCTGGCTAATTTTTTTTGTGTATTTTTTTGTAGAGATGGGGGTCTCACTATGTTTCCCTGGCTGGTCTTGAACTCTTGGGTTCAAGCGATCCTCCAGTCTCGCCTCTCAAAGTGCTGGGATTACAGAGCCACCACACTCAGCCATTTCCTATAATAAAAAAATATTTTGTCTGTGATGTAGCCATCAAAGTTTTAGGGGGAAAAATTGGCATTGTCTTTCCCTGGAGTCTAGACCTATAGGAAAAAAATTGAAGGCTAATATTTGGGTTCTAGATGACGCAAAATAAATAATAAAACATCTGTGATTACCTTGATTGAAAAGTTTGTGCATAGAAATTATTCTGGTACTTTGGAGAGCTACAAGAAGGCCTAACAGAAAAAAAAACTGATAAATACAATTAAAATAACAGTCGAGCATATATTAAAGCACTTACTATGCACTAAACTCTATATATCTCCTGTCATTAGTTGGATGCAATTATTAGACATCTTTGGTCCTCCACAACATAGGTGATTAAAAAGTCTAAGAAACTGAGGCGTTATCTATGTCTTTGGTAAGACACACAGGCCCAAGTGAAGCCTGCAATGATGTGCAGGCTTCCCCTCCCCCACGGACCACATGGACCACTTCCTCTTTTTTTTTTTTTTTTTTCTTTAGACAGAGTCTCACTGTATCGCCCAGGCTGGAGTGCAGTGGCGCAATCTCGGCTCACTGCAACCTCTGCTTCCTGGGTTCAAGTGATTCTCCTGCCTCAGCCTCCCGAGTAGCTGGGAATACAGGCATGCACCACCATGCCTGACTAATTTTTTTATGTGTGTGTTTTTGGTAGAGATGGGGTTTCACCATGCTGGCCAGGCTGGTCTCAAACTCCTGACCTCGTGATCTGCTCGCCTTGGCCTCCCAAAGTGCTGGGATTACAGGCACTTCCTCTTTTTACTTTTTTCACTTAGAAAAACTGAGAGGACTTTTGCTGCCACTGAATGACACAGCATAGTTGAAGCGGTTTTCTTGTCATTTATTATGGCTCGAATGTTTGTCCCTTCTGAAATTCATGTTGAAACTTAATCCTGGCTGGGCACAGTGGCTCACACTTCTAATCCCAGCATTTTGGGAGGCTGAGACTGGAGGATCGCATGAGCCCAGGAGTTTGAGACCAGCCTGGGCAACATAGTGAGTCCTCCTCTCTACAAAATCAAACAAACAAAAATTAGCTGGGTGTGGTAGCACACACCTGTGGTCCCAGCTACTTGGAAGGCGGAGGCAGGAGGATTGTTTGAACCCAGGAGGAGTTTAAGAGCAGTCTGGGCAATATAGTGAGACCTCATATCTGTCTATCTATGTATCTATGTATCTATGTATCTATCTATCTATCTATCTATCTATCTATCTATCTATGTATCTATCTATCTAAAATAAATTAAATTAAAAAATAAAAAATAATGAGGCAAAGAAAAGAAAGTTAATCCTCAATATAACAGTATTAAGAAGTAGGGCATTTAAGAGGTGACTGGGTCATGAGGGCTCCTTCATGAATGGATTAATGGATTAATGGGTTATCCTGAGAATGGGTCTGTTATAAAAGCCAGTTTCGCTCTTTCTCTTGTGCCCCTCTAAATCTTTATCTTTAGCCATGTTATGATGCCTCTCTGATATCTTTACCCATGTTATGATGCGGAACAAAGCCCTCACCCAAAGCAAACCAGATACAGCCCCTCAACGTTGAACTTCTCAGCCTCTTCCATACATTTTTCTTCCTTTCTTTTTTTTGAGATAGGATCTTGCTCTGCCATTGTGCCATTGCAGCCTCAAACTCTTGGGCTCAAGTGATCCTGCTGCTTCAGCATCCTGAGTAGCGGGGCTTACAGATGCACACCCCCATGCATCACTAATTTTTTTTTTTTTTTTGAGATGGAGTCTTGCTAGGTCACCCAGGCTGGAGTGCAGTGGTGCGATCTCGGCTCACTGCAACCTCTGCCTCCTGGGTTCACACCATTCTCCTGCCTCAGCCTCCCAAGTAGCTGGGACTATAGGTGCCTGCCACCACGCCAGGTTAATTTTTTGTATTTTTAGTAGAGACGGGGTTTCACCGTGTTAGCCAGGATGGTCTCGATCTCCTGACCTCATGATCCACCCATCTTGGCCTCCCAAAGTGCTGGGATTACAGGCATGAACCACTGCGCCCGGCCGCATCGCTAGTTTTTAAAAACTTTTTGTAGAGACAGATTCTTACTATGTTGCCAAGGCTGGTCTCAAACTCCTGGCCTCAAGAGATCCTCCAGTCTTCGGCCTCCCAAAAAGATGGGATTACAGGCATGAGCCACCTCACCTGGCCTCTTTTTTTTGTATATTACCTGATCTCAGGTATTCTGCTATAGCAACAGAAAGACGAAGACAGAATCCTTAGCTGTCTGCAAGTGTGCATGCCATTTTCATCCTCTGAAGAGTCAGCGAGTGTCTTAGGTGGAGTCTTGCAAAAGCAGGCCCTGAGCCAAAGATTTGGATGCAAATGACTTGTTAAGAAAGGGCTCTTCGAGACCGTGCCATTGCACTCCAGCCCGGGCAAGAAGAGTGAAACTCTGTTTCAAAAAAAAAAAAAAGTGGGGGGCTCCTAGGAAAAGAACAGTAAAGGAGTGGGGGATGAAGGACAGGGAATGGGAAGAAGCCAAGCGAGAGCATGATTTCAGAAGTCCTACACTCAGCCTGATCACACGGGAAGCTTTAGAACAAAGAACACACCTCAGAGTTTTTCCTGCCTCAACACAAAGGAGCTGGGCTTTGGTGCTCTTCATCAGCCTGTCTTTGGCTATCCAGGGTTGTGGAACGAGGTGAAACATAAAACTCCGAGGTACTTCCGGCTCCCTCCAGTGTCTGAGGGTAATCTGCAGGACTGAGGGTAATTGCAGATGCTAGCTGTTAGCAGCAAACTATGCAAAAGCTGAGGACTGGCTTATAAAGCCAGATCTGGGTGAGTCATGTTTCCTGTCAACATCCTCTGCTGGGCCCATAACACATGCAACCCCAAACTTCCATTACAAGTTCAAAGTTTCTAAGGGGATAGCATTACAGTGTGTATGATATTGGACTCAGACCTGAGTTTGAATCCTAATTCCACAAAAGAAATTGGAAAAGAGTCATATTGCTGACTTGACCCTTTGTCACCATATCCATAAAATGGGATAATTATTCCTATATCATAAATTTACTTATTTATTCACTTAGTCATTTGTTAAATAAATATGGAGTGTCTACTTTGTGCCGGGCACTCTTTTTAGGGTGGTTCTGAGAAGGGGATGGCAATGAGAAGGGCTCTCTAAGATGCAAGACTCCAGGCAACTGCTTTTACTTCCAGTGGTTCTTTATTTTCACAGCTCATTAGAGCAAATTACCACAGCAGGGAGATACAGGTTGAGTATCCCTTATCCGAAAAGCCTGGCACCAGAAGTGTTTTAAATTTTGGATTTTTTTTTGATTTTTGGAATATTTGTTAATTATCAGTTGAGCATCTCTAATGTGAAAATCTAAAATCCAAAATGCCCCAGTGACCCTTTCCTTTGAGCATCATGTTGGTGCTCAAAAAGTTTGAGATGTTGGAGCATTTAGGATTTCAGATTTTTGGATTAAGGATACTCATTTTGTACAATGGAAAACTTCTTGGCACTAATCTGATGAAAGAAGAAACTACGGGAGAATCCCTTTCCCTAAAAGGCTTTCAGTAACAAGATGGCCCTGACTCATTCTGGACAGTTCCTCCAAAGGTAGGCCTACAGGTAGAACTCTTTTCTGGCAGCATAGGGGTTTTCCAGAATGAAGGTGTATTTTTTTTTTACTGAGGCCAGGAAAGGTGAAGAGAATGAAGGGTTCCTAGTGACGATGCAGCAACCAAGTCATTTATGTAATGGAGCCTTATCTGACAGATTTCTAGGATAGAAACTCAGTATCCAAGCTCAGGCTTGGCAGACTGAGGTGGGCACCGTCCCCAGGATTGCAGTGTGGATTAGAGGTTTCAACCCCAATCATATTCAACAGCTCCCTTTCCCCCAACAACCCCTTTTTATAACAATTGTTTTGTGGTGATTCTTTTACTAATATGATCATGAAAATTAAGTAATTTAGCTTGTGAATGCTCTAGCTTGGCTGCACTGCTGGTATAAAGAAGTGCCAGACACTTGCAACTGCCTAGGATCTCTGTGAACCAGCGGCATGGAAGACTGAGAGGCACGCTGGATTGATGGCTCAGATTCAAGTATGGTATTGCAGGTTCTGGTGTAATTTTCTAAAATGGCGAAAATCTCTAGGTAAAACTCCAAAAATAAAAAACCAACATACATCTTCCTTTGAGTTACCTGGTAGTTATATTCCTGGAAAATTCAGTGTATATGAGCCTGAGGTAGTAGATGGTCAATAAATACTCAAGAAATAAAAAAATCAAAAAATATAAAAATATAAAACACATTTCTTACATGTCCTTGGTGCTTGTAAGCCCAGATTATATGCAGGCTTTTTTTTGGACGGAGTCTCTGTTGCCCAGGCTGGAGTGAAGTGGCGAGATCTGGGCTCACTGCAACCTCCACCTCCTGGGTTCAAGCGATCCTCCTGCCTCAGCCTCCTGAGTAGCTGGGATTACAGGCACGCGCCACCACCCTCAGCTGATCTTTGTATTTTTAGTAGAGAAGGGGTTTCACCATGTTGGCCAGGCTGATGTAGAACTCCTGACCTCAAGTGATCCGCCCACCTCGGCCTCCCAAAGTGTTGGGATTACAGGCGTGAGTCACAGCGCCCGGCTGCTTTTTTATACATTAAGTGTGCTTGCAGAGGACTGCGACCTCTGGCCCTCGGCCTCTTAATAAATACTCCAAGTGACTTCATTGGAACAACCACTGAGAATCACTTATCTAGAGAGTGGGAAGTTGCTGATCTCATCACTGCATGGGGTGGGGTGAGGGAAGCAACCCTGCCCTTCCCCTTTCTCGGAAAGCAGCTGGCTTTGAAGAAAGAGAAACCAGGACGGGAAAGTCCTGATTTCTAATCTGAAACAGCGCTTTTTGTCCAGAGACCGGTGACGAGCGACCCTGGGCTCGGGTTTTGATTGGGCAGTTCGGAAACTGTAAAAGCGAATTAAAAGGGTGACAAGCTAGTGTTTTAGCCTATCCAGTTCCGGGAGTTTGCACGCAGACGCTCTGCTTCGTGACCTTGGCTCTGCTCTGTGGGCGCCGCCCCCAGCCTGGGCGCGTCCATCGTCGAGTACCTTCTCCTCTGCCTCCCCCTCCCTCTGCTTCTATCTCTCTCCAATTGCCCTCCCTGGCCTGCGGCCGCCCGGTCCTCCTTCCCAGCCCAGTGCAGCCAGGCACCCGGGTTCGGCTTGCTCAGGTCTCTGTCCGGGACTGGGAAGCCACGGAGGGCCGGGAAAGTGGCACACTCCTGGAGCTCAAGCTTCCTACTCTCTCATCGCTGAATAACTACCGGGCAGGACTGGGTGGAACAGACAGCATATTTAGGTCATTGATGGGCTGCTGGGTGGATGGAGCTGGAAAGTGATGGGCACTGCTTTCTGGGGCTGCCCAGGTTCCTTCCGAGGGCTCGCTTTTCCTGGGCAGAGCGGGAAAGAGGAGGGGCAGGCCGGTCGCGAAACGCAAATAGTCGAGAATAGCGATCCGGGGAGAAGCAGGTGTCTGTGGGGCCCAAGAGAAGTACCATCTCGGTAAGTAGGCCGGTGCATGCAGGGGAGCGCAGAGCCCTAAGCCCTTCTCTGGGGTCCGCCCGTTTTCCTGCTGGGCTTCTCATTTCCTCACTAGGTTCTACGGTTTGCCGATCTAAATCCAGTTCGTGTCCTATTGTATTGTGTAACATTTTTGGCAGCTTACATCTTTGTTTATTGAGATATAGTTCACAAACCATACAATTAACATATTTAAGTGTACATTTCAGTGGGTTTTAGTATATTCACAGGGTTGTGTAACCACCTCAATTTTAGGACATTTTCGTCACTCCCAAAAGAAATTTTGTACCAGTTCGGTGTCACTCCCATTTCTCCCAAACCCCTAGTCCTAGGAAACCACCAATCTTTCTGTCTCTATGGGTTTGCCTATTAGTATTTCATAGAAACAGAAACATATAATATGTGGTCTTTTGTAACTGGCTTCTGTTTTCAAAGGTCGTCATATTGTAGCAAGGATCAGTTCTTCATTCCTATTTATTGATGAATATTACTCTACTGTATAGATATACTAAGTTTTGTTTATCCATCTATAGTTAATGGGCATTTGGGTTGTTTCCACTCTTCGGCTACTGAGAATAAAATGTGGTTATCAATATTCATGTATAAATTTTTGGTGTGGACATAGATTTTCAATTCTCTTGAGTATATATGCAGGAGTGGAATTGCTGGGTGATATGGTAACTCTATGTTTAATCTTTTAAGGAACTACTAGGCTGTTCTCCAAAGCTGAATGTACCATTGTGTATGAGAGTTCCAATTTTTCTACATCCTCACCAATACTTTTAATCTTTTTTTATTATAACCATTCTAGTGGATACGAAATGGTATCTCTTTATGGTTTTGATTTGTATTTCCCTAATGACTATGCATTATTTTAAAATTATAAGCTAATTAATTTTTACAAAGATTTACATGCTGTGATTTTGACAACTTAACTTCTAGGTCACATGCTCAAAAGTCACAGAGCCTAGACCCAAACCAAGCCTTTCTATGGCTAATGCTCGAACTCCATCCTCTCTTTCCTAGAAGGCAATCTGGGATAAATTTTTCAGAACTCCATTTGTTGCCTCTGTTAGAAAGAAAACACTGGGCAAGATGAACCTGCAAGTAGAGTAAATGGTTTATTTCTTATTTGCTTTTAGGAGTATGTAAGGAGATTTTTTGGTCTCCCGTTTTTACTTTATAAAAAATGAGTGAGTGGGCCAAGCGCTGTGGCTCATGCCTGTGATCCCAGCACTTTGGGAGACCGAGGCAGGCAGATCACCTGAGGTCAGGAGTTTGATATCAGCCTGACCAACATGGCAAAACCCCATCTCTGCTAAAAATACAAAAATTAGCCGGGTGTAGTGCCATGCACCTGTAATTCCAGCTATATGGGAGGCTGAGGCATGAACATTGCTTGAACCCCGGGGAGACGGAGGTTGCAGTGAGCCAAGATTGCACCACTGCACTCCAGCCTGGGTGACAGAGTGAGGCTCTTTCTCAAAAAAAAAAAAAAAAAAAAAAAAAAGGAAAGAGAAAGCTCTTAATTGAAGTAGTAACCCTTTCTTGGGTGTTCAATGATATTGTGCTTCTCTTCATGTAAGTGCCCCTTAGATTCCTCCTCCTCACTACCATCAGGTCATAGAATAGGGAGGGGCACTCAGTTTCAACAGCAGTGGCCTCCAAATTTTGTTCAAATGCATAACTATAAAAAGTTTTTTGTATACATTCTCTATATATAGCTATACATTTTATACATACACTACTATCAGTCTTGATTTAGACATTACTAAAGCTTAATTTTTCTCTCATTTTTTTTCAGTTAAAAATTCAGATTGAACTATCTTACAAATGGCTCCCAGAAGATCCACTCCCTGTGGGAACACAGCAGTTGTGGAAGTGAAGACAGGACTGGACCCAGAATAAGGGTTCAAATATGTGGGGAAATCTGACCTCTAAATTCTTATAAGTCAGAGAGTGACTGAACAACAGCAGTGAGACATCGAAGAGTTTTAATATCTGCTGTAAACCTTGGCACAGATCATTTACTTCTCTAAGACTGAATCCAAAAAGCACAATGGAATACTATAATAAGCTGAGACAGCATGGTGAATTCCAGACAAGCCTGAGCATTCCCTATAGCCAGAGAAGGAGGCCCAACACCTAACATAGCCTTGGATGCAGAACTGATAGAACTTGGGGAAAGTGATGAAGTAGTTGACCTCACCTGTGAATCTCTAGCACCTGTAGTGATTGACCTAACTCACCGTGACTCTGTAGTGATTATTGAACAAAGGAGGAGGCCAAGAGCAAACACAAGGCCACTCCAAGACCACACTGGCAGTTGTGTGGTGAACAATGATGAGGAGGGAGTGAAAAGGGACAGAGATGTATGTATAACCAACAGTGCCCACCATAATTCCCTGCAAAAAAATTTTTTTTGTCATATACTACCTGGTTATATTCAGTGTCAAGTTTGCATGGATGGATGCTCAGAGATTGAACTTAGTATACAACACATCTACTCTATAGAATGTGGCCACATCTGTAGTCAGTGCTTCTGCACTTCCTTTACACATACTAACACTGCCCAGTTTGTTTGAAAAAAATCAGCCTCCATCAGTATCACTGCAGTTATATATGATGTATGCCTTATTGCTCAAGACAGATCCTGTGGCTGGATTTTTCCATGTCTTTGTGCAGGAACTATGGGTTGTTGGCATCCAATGCTCTGAGCTTAAAAATACTGATTTTTAAAATTGCTATCTGCAGTATATAAGAAACTCTTTGATTTCTCATATGCTCTGAGACTGCTTTTTGTTTCCTTTGGTTTTATGCTTCAGCTCTGGACTTCAGTTGCCAGAGTGTGCCAGATACTGGGGTCGTCCTTAAAGCAACTTTCCCTTTCTTATAGTCATCAATTTTTAGTTGGCCACATGTGGACATTCTGGACCACATAAATAAAGACAACACCCTAGAGATGGTGAAGTAAGTTGTAAACTAAAATCCTAAGCCCCCTAATTGACTGAATGGAACCCCTCTTGACCAAAGTGACCCCAGAAAAACCTTAAAACTGAGTTCCTGGCCATGACGGGATGGGAGGTCAGACACGCTTCATTATATCTCCGTCTCTTTTATGGTTTAGACACAACAACTGACCAGCATTAATGTCAAAATAAAGATCATAAGGCTGACAGAATAGACCCTTTGTGGCAATAACAAATTATTCGTAAGATCTAAGGTCATGCCAGGCAAGTGTTATGTCATGCACTCCTACACTTAAAGAATAAACTATGTTCTAACTGCCACAAGATTTTCTATTTATTTATTTATTTATTTATTTTTTGAGACGGAGTTCTGCCCTGTCAGTTTTTCTTTTTGTTTAGCAGCTAAACAAGCACCAGCTGAGATAAGCAATTTTTTTTTTTTTTTTTTTTGAGTCAGAGTCTTGCTCTGTCGCCCAGGCTGCAGTGCAGTGGCCCGATCTCGGCTCACTGTGAGCTCTGTCTTCTGGGTTCATGCCATTCTCCTGCCTCAGCCTCCCAAGTAGCTGGGACTACAGGCACCCACCACCACGCCCCGCTAATTTTTTTGTATTTTTAGTAGAGATGGGGTTTCACCGTGTTAGCCATGATGGTCTCCATCTCCTGACCTTGTGACCTGCCTGCCTCGGCCCCCCAAAGGGCTGGGATTACAGGCGTGAGCCACCGCACCCAGCCACTTTCTCTTGATAAGAAGACCACTGACTATGGGCTGGTTCTGGCCAGTTTATAGAGGCTAAGCACCCTTGTTCCTTCCTGTCCTGAACAGGCATTTTGACTTATAGGGTCTAATTGTTATGCATTTAAGTGTTAAGTCTCCACCTTAGGCCTGGCGTGGTGGCTCACCCCTGTAATCCCAGCACTTTGGGAGGCTGAGGTGGGTGAATCACTTGAGGTCAGGAGTTTGAGACCAGCCTGGCCAACATGGCAAAACCCCGTCTCTACTAAAAATACAAAATTAGCTGAGTGTGGTGGTGCACGCCTGTAATCCCAGCTACTTGGGAGACTGAGGAAGGAGAATCATTTGAACCTCAGAGGCAGAGATTGCAGTGAGCTGAGATGGCGCCACTGCACTCCAGTCTGGGTGACAGAGTAAGACTCCGTCGCGAAAAACAAAAAACAAACAATAACAACAACAAAAAGAGTTAAGTCTCCACCTCAAAGTGAACATGGGTTGTATGTTACATGCATGTTTGTTCAATAAGCATGAGTCAGGATGACCTTCATAATTATTCATAGCTCCTCCTGTAACCTGTTGAATATGTATGTTTAGCCAACCTATTCAGCATCAAGTTCCTACCCCTGCTCCTCCTTTGAAGTGCCTGTCTCTGGTCTTTGCCAGAGATTGTACTTCCTGGCCTGTGGGATGGCCACCTTGCAGGCCTTTAACGCTTTATAAGAAATAAAGTCTCCTCTCCAAATTTATGGATGTTGTGAGTTCTGTGTTAACAAAGTAGAGAGAAGGAATTTGGGAGACTGACAACTTTGCAAACCAGAGCCACTATAGAAGTTTGGACTTTTACTTAAGAGAGAAATAAATTTCATTCTTGCTTAAGCAACTTTTATACTGGGTATATTAGTCAGGTTGACATACAAAATTAACCATCACTCTGGGTCTCGTTTACAGCAATGGAATTTTTTTATTTTTTATTTTTATTTTTTGAGACAAGGTCTTACTCTGTCAACCATGCTGGAGTGCAGGGATATGATCATGGCTTACTGCAGCCTCGACCTCCTGGGTGCAAATGATCCTCCCACCTCAGCCTCCTGAGTAGCTGGCACCACAGGCACGTGCCAACATGCCTGGCTAATTTTTAAATTTTTTGTAGGGACAGGGTCTCGCCATCTTGCCCAGGCTGGTCTTGAACTCCTGGGCTCAGGTGATCCTCCCACCTTGGCCCCCCAAAGTGCTGAGATTACAGGCATGAGCCACCATGCCTGGACACTGTTTTTAAATAGTGAAAAAAAGACTTGAAGTACTCTTTGTGAAGATTGAGACTTCTTGCTACATAGGATTTGGAATCACAGGCTTCTAGAGACAGAAGGGGGTCTTAGGAATTCACATTTTAAAGAAGGAGGAACTGACACCCATAGGAGTTAAATGTCTTAGCTAAGGCTACTCAGTGCTCTGGTGGTGAGAGACAAGGCTTCCATCTTCTAGGCCAGTACTCTTACCCCTAGGCTAAAGGTTCAAAAATGTGCAGGCGCTGGCTTTAGTAAAATCAGCTATACTAAGCATTGTCAAATGTTTTAGCCAACAACAAAAACAATCAAGATGAAACAAAATTACTTTTTTGACTAAGTGATCACCAGCATTTCATAGACATTTATCTGACAAAGGTTTTGATCTAACAAATGCCATGTATTGCCAAGGTGAGCAAGATACAGTACTACCTATCCTGTGGTTTGTTCACAACTTAGTGGAGGGGCAGACATGCAATCAAACAATTAGAATACACTCTGTTAAAGCCACGTGTACAAAGATCTAGGGTGCTATAGAAATGTGTAAAACTAGGCCAGGCGTGGTGTTGCTCACACCTGTAATCCTAGCACTTTGTGAGGCTGAGGTGGGAGGACAGCTTGAGCTCAGAAATTTGAGATCAGCCTAGGCAACATAGTGAGACCCTGTCAGAAAGAAAAGAAAAAAGAAAAGAAAAGAAGGAAAGAAAGAGAAAGAGAAAGAAAGGGAGAAAGAAAGAAAGAGAGCAAGAGAGAAAGAAAGAGGAAAAAGAAAGGAAGAAAGAGAAAGAAACAGAGAGAGAAAGAAAGGGAGAAAGAAAACAGAAAGAGAGAGAAAGAAAGAAAGAGAAAGAAAAAAAGAAAGAGGAAAGAAGGAAGGAAGGAAGGAAGGAAGGAAAGAAGGAAGGAAGGAAGGAAGGAAGGAAGGAAGGAAGGGAGTAAAGCTGTGTTTCTCAACTGGGGAGTGATTCCAACCCCTGCCCCCAGGAGACATTTGGCAATGACTGGAGACATTTTTGTTATGACTGGGTTTGGTGGGGGGGGGGGTGGCTACAGGCATCTAGTGTGTAAACGCCAGGGACACTGCTAAATATCCTAAAATTCACAGGACAGCCCCTCTAACGTAAGACTTAGCAGGCCCAAAATATCAATAGGGCTGAGGTTGGTAACCTCTGGTATAGAGCCAGCAAAATATCTTCTACAAGAGACAGGGAAGTGGGTAAAGCTTGGTTTGGGGATGAGGGGGTGGTTAGGGAAGAGTTTAGTAAAGAGATAATGACGGGGGTGTGGGGGAAGGGAAACTCCCATCCGAAGGGACAACATATACAAAGCTGCAGAAGCGTGACATATTTGGGCGATCCCAAACACTGGGGAAAGAGCTGTGGTCATTAAGTCTGGACAGCTAGGCAGGAGCTAGACGTGCAAGAAATCATATTGAGTTAGAGGAACTACTGTAAGAAAAACTGTTTGGCTCTGTGGTGGCTCTTTATAAGTCACTCAGGAGCACAGTGTTGGTACATCTCTCTGCGAGCTAAAACTGCTGAAGAAAGCTGTATGAAATGAAGCTTTTTTCATCCTGCTTTCTTAGGGCCTGGTGTTTCCCAGGCCTGTGTTACTGTCTCAGAGATAAAATCAGGGCTGCTTCATTGGAATATGAGAGGTGAACTAGCTCTCTATTAAAGCCACTCAGCTGGTGTCTTGATGGTGTGATGGGATCATGAACAGGGGTGAGGTGGTTATTTTTCATGAGTTAGGCTTAATATAGGCTGCTGCTGACGTGTATTTCCTCTTTCATAGAGCATCCTTAGTCCAGAAATGGGGAGCTATGAACCTTAAGATTAGACTACTAACTCGAATCTAAATGAGCTGCCCTTGTCTCCTACAAAAGAAAAGTTGGGCAGGTAGGGTATTCTAATGAGGGTTTCTCTTTCTCTTAAGCAAATGATGATCAAAGTTAACTGACAAACTGTCACGGAATCTGCCAGACCTCACTCTGGCCTTGCTGCTTCTCTCCAGCTCCTGAACTTTTCTTTCTTCCATCATGCTCTGAGCCCATTCCTTGAAAACTAAAAGGTCCCTGACTCCCAGTCTGCAGCCATCCTGGGCCTGCTGAGCTCTGATTCAAGTGCCTGCCTCTGCCCCTTGGTGGGCTGAAGCTTCATGGAGGTGAGTGACCCTTTTTTTTTTTAACTTAGCAGGGCTTCTAGGAATAGTGTGGAAAACAGGATCATAGAAGAGGATATGGATTTAGGAGCACAAAAGGAAATTCATGAAGGGAAGTATTTAACTTGTGACAGCTGGTAGCTACTATACTCTCTCCAAGCCTTGGAATAACTGATAATTTATACTAGAGAAGCTGGTAGGAAAGTAATGAAATCCACCAAAACATTTTGAGAAAAAATAAACTATATACTATATACAATTTACTTTCATTATCAATGTAATCATTTTATTTTAGATTTAAAAATTATTATGTATAACTTGGTTTGCTTACAATACCTTCACATTTGATTATTTTATATTTAAGGCAGAGTTGATACTTAGATAGTAAACATTTTTAATTGAATTCTTCCTTTAAGACCTCTTCAGAGCTAAAATAAAGGAAGTTATGTTCTTCTGAACTTAGTGTTTTCCTGATTGTCAAACAAAAGAAAATGGTTATTTACTACATGAAAGCTTGAAAAACTCACTAAGGGTTTTTCAGGGGCCCTTGAATCCTGAGTTATCATCCATTTCCACTAGTTTCCACTTCTTATAAAGTTTAATTTCATTATATTAATCATTAAGATCAGTTTCTAATTTCCTCTATCATAGGACCTTTAGGTTTGCTGCTACTCATCTCTGTGCTTAGCTATTGAAGCAAACAGGGCTATAAGCATTTTGTTTATAATTTCTAGGGCAAAAATAAACACTATTGCCTAAACCTACTATATTCTTATTACTTTAAGGCCAAGTCAGTGAAAATAGACACTTTTCCATAATAGTAAAAAAATTGTTTGTGTGATAGTGAGTTTCCCATTACTTCAGATGTTCAGGCAGAGGTTGGAAAGGAGTGAATTAAATGGCTTAAAATTTCTTTCAACTCTGGGAAGCTCCAAGAAGTCAGAAAGTTCAGAATCTTGCCTTCTTATGTGCAAATGGCTTGACTCGTGAAGCAGGAGTGTGTCTTGCTCTTAGGTTTAAGCTGGCTGTGCTATATAGTTTGTCTCTGTGGATGAACTGTATTTTTCTGCTCTCAAAGTTAATTCTTCATAAAAACTGCCCATCAAAGTTTAAAAATTACTTTGAAGGAATAAAGGTTGAAAAGCAACAAATGAACTCTCCTTAGATATCTTAACTATGATTTCAAAAATTTACAACACAAAACTTCTCAGGAAAAAAAAATCTCTGGTAAAAATTAAGGATTTCTTATGCAAGCTTCCATGGACTTCATAGCTCTTTGCCTTTTCTCTGCTCTTTGAGAATGTGCACAGTGAACTGAAGGAGGAAGATACATACTTTCTTTCTTTTTTTTTTTTTTTTTTTTTTTTTTTAGGACAGAGTCTCACTCTCTTGCTCAGGCTGGAGTGCAGTGGCACCATCTCAGCTCACTGCAACCTCCGCTTCCAGGGTTCAAGTGATTCTCATGCCTCAGCATCCCAAATAGCTGGGACTGCAGGGACGCACCACCACGCCTGGCTAATTTTTGTATTATTTTTTTTTTTTTTAGTAGAGATGAGGTCTCACCATGTTACCCAGGCTTGTCTCCAACTCCTGACCTCAGGTGATCCTCCTGCCTCAGCCTCCCAAAGTGAGGCTAAGATTACAGGCCTGGGCCATCGCGACCTGCTGATGTGCTTTCTTATAAAGTGATTCCTGCCAGCCAGGGCTTTATAAGGATGAATATCAATTCCTGACTCGAGTTTCTCTCTCTCTGCCTTAAGGTTAGACTTCTTCCCCTAAAAGGGGCTGGCAGTAGATGTGTTTCCTAAAAGATTTCCAGGTCCAGAAATTTTAGACTCTCATTTGGTTTCCAATTCTATAGCTCCCTCTAGAGCAGTAGGAAGTTATTGCAGATATTTTGCTTCACAAATTTGATCCATTTAATAAATTCAATTCCACAAAACATATTGATGGGCTCTCTGCTGACTCAGTGGTTAATAGGCTTTGGGGTCAAATAAAGAGTTCAAATCTGAGACCCACTACTTAATAATTGTGACTCTGGGAAGATACTTGAAGCAATCTGAGCTTCAGTTTCCTTAAAATATGTAGTAATAATACGTATTTCATAGGGTTGTTCTGAGATTAAATGAAATAATGTATGTAAATCCTCTTCCACAGTGAATGCTCAGTAAATATTAGCTAATATAATTAATCCCTTGTTTTACAGAAAAGGATATATTATTGAAAGTCAGGGGAATTGGCAAACCCTCAGCTAGCAAGATGAATTAACCATATAAAACCAGTCAATCATATAATATCAATAATTAATAACATTAAATATATTTTCATATCATATAACTCACCCTTTTGAAGTTTACAATTCAGTGATTTATAGCATATTCACAAAGTTGTACAATTATCACCACTATCTAATTCCAGAACATTTTCATTATCCCCAAAAGAAATTCCATACCCATTATCAGTCACTTCCCGTTCCTCTTTGCCCTGCCTTGGTAACCGCTATATATTTTAAACATACTTTAAAAACACACGGAGGGGGCAGCCAAGATGGCTGAATAGGAACAGCTCTGGTCTACAGCTCCCAGCGTGAGCGATGCAGAAGACGGGTGATTTCTGCATTTCCATCTGAGGTACCAGTTTCATCTCACTAGGGAGTGCCAGACAGTGGGCGCAGGACAGTGGGTGCAGCGCACCGTGCGTGAGCCGAAGCAGGGCGAGGCATTGCCTCACTCGGGAAGCGCAAGGGGTCAGGGAGGTCCCTTTCCTAGTCAAAGAAAGGGGTGACAGACGGCACCTGGAAAATTGGGTCACTCCCACCCTAATACTGTGCTTTTCCGACGGGCTTAAAGAACGGTGCACCAGGAGATTATATCCTGCACCTGGCTCGGAGGGCCCTACGCCCATGGAGTCTCGCTGATTGCTAGCACAGCAGTCTGAGATCAAACTGCAAGGCGGCAGCGAGGCTGTGGGAGGGGCGCCCACCATTGCCCAGGCTTGCTTAGGTAAACAAAGCAGCCGGGAAGCTCGAACTGGGTGGAGCCCACCACAGCTCAAGGAGGCCTGCCTGCCTCTGTAGGCTCCACCTCTGGGGGCAGGGCACAGACAAACAAAAAGACATCAGTAACCTCTGCAGACTTAAATGTCCCTGTCTGACAGCTTTGAAGAGAGCAGTGGTTCTCCCAGCACGCAGCTGGAGATCTGAGAATGGGCAGACTGCCTCCTCAAGTGGGTCCCTGACCCCTGACCCCCTAGCAGCCTAACTGGGAGGCACCCCCAAGTAGGGGCAGACTGACACCTCACATGGCCGGGTACTCCTCTGAGACAAAACTTCCAGAGGAATGATCGACAGCAGCATTCGCGGTTCACGAAAATCCACTGTTCTGCAGCCACCGCTGCTGATACCCAGGCAAACAGGGTCTGGAGTGGACCTCTAGCAAACTCCAATAGACCTGCAGCTGAGGGTCCTGTCTGTTAGAAGGAAAACTAACAAACAGAAAGGACATCCATACCAAAAACCCATCTGTACATCACCATCGTCAAAGACCAAAAGTAGATAAAACCGCAAAGATGGGGAAAAAACAGAGCAGGAAAACTGGAAACTCTAAAAAGCAGAGCGCCTCTCTTCCTCCAAAGGAACGCAGTTCCTCACCAGCAACAAAACAAAGCTGGATGGAGAATGACTTTGACAAGTTGAGAGAAGAAGGCTTCAGATGATCAAACTACTCCGAGCTACAGGAGGAAATTCAAACCAAAGGCAAAGAAGTTAAAAACTTTGAAAAGAATTTAGATGAATGTATAACTAGAATAACCAATACAGAGAAGTGCTTAAAGGAGCTGATGGAGCTTGCTGTATTCAGGAAACCCATCTCACATGCAGAGACACACATAGGCTCAAAATGAAAGGATGGAGGAAGATCTACCAAGCCAATGGAAAACAAAAAAAGGCAGGGGTTGCAATCCTAGTCTCTGATAAAACAGACTTTAAACCAACAAAGATCAAAAGAGACAAAGAAGGCCATTACATAATGGTAAAGGGATCAATTCAACAAGAAGAGCTAACTATCCTAAATATATATGCACCCAATACAGGAGCACCCAGATTCATAAAGCAAGTCCTGAGTGACCTACAAAGAGACTTAGACTCCCACACAATAATAATGGGAGATTTTAACACCCCACTGCCAACATTAGGCAGATCAACGAGACAGAAAGTTAACAAGGATACCCAGGAATTGAACTCAGCTCTGCACCAAGCGGACCTAATAGACATCTACAGAACTCTCCACCCTAAATCAACAGAATATACATTTTTTTCAGCACCACACCACACCTATTCCAAAATTGACCACATAGTTGGAAGTAAAGCTCTCCTCAGCAAATGTAAAAGAACAGAAATTATAACAAACTGTCTCTCAGACCACAGTGCAATCAAACTAGAACTCAGGATTAAGAAACTCACTCAAAACCGCTCAACTACATGGAAACTGAACAACCTGCTCCTGAATGACTACTGGGTACCTAACAAAATGAAGGCAGAAATAAAGATGTTCTTTGAAACCAATGAGAACAAAGACACAACATACCAGAATCTCTGGGACACATTCAAAGCAGTGTGTAGAGGGAAATTTATAGCACTAAATGCCCACAAGAGAAAGCAGGAAAGATCCGAAATTGACACCCTAACATCACAATTAAAAGAACTAGAAAAGCAAGAGCAAACACATTCAAAAGCTAGCAGAAGGCAAGAAATAACTAAAATCAGAGCAGAACTGAAGGAAAAAGAGACACAATAAACCCTTCAAAAAGTTAATGAATCCAGGAGCTGGTTTTTTGAAAGGATCAACAAAATTGATAGACTGCTAGCAAGACTAATAAAGAAGAAAAGAGAGAAGAATCAAATAGAAGCAATAAAGAATGATAAAGGGGATATCACCACTGATCCCACAGAAATACAAACTACCATCAGAGAATACTACAAACACCTCTATGCAAATAAACTAGAAAATCTAGAAGAAATGGATAAATTCTTCGACACATACACCCTCCCAAGACTAAACCAGGAAGAAGTTGAATCTCTGAATAGACCAATAACAGGCTCCGAAATTGTGGCAATAATCAATAGCTTACCAACCAAAAAGAGTCCAGGACCAGATGGATTCACAGCCGAATTCTACCAGAGGTACAAGGAGGAACTGGTACCATTCCTTCTGAAGCTATTCCAATCAACAGAAAAAGAGGGAATCCTCCCTAACTCATTTTATGAGGCCAGCATTATCCTTATACCAAAGCCGGGCAGAGACACAACCAAAAGAGAGAATTTTAGACCAATATCCTTGATGAACATTGATGCAAAAATCCTCAATAAAATACTGGCAAACTGAATCCAGCAGCACATCAAAAAGCTTATCCACCATGATCAAGTGGGCTTCATCCCTGGGATGCAAGGCTGGTTCAATATACGCAAATCAATAAATGTAATCCAGCATATAAACAGAACCAAAGACAAAAACCACATGATTATCTCAATAGATGCAGAAAAGGCCTTTGACAAAATTCAACAACGCTTCATGCTAAAAACTCTCAATAAATTAGGTATTGATGGGATGTATCTCAAAATAATAAGAGCTATCTATGACAAACCCACAGCCAATATCATACTGAATGGGCAAAAACTGGAAGCATTCCCTTTGAAAACTGGCACAAGACAGGGATGCCCTCTCTCACCACTCCTATTCAACATAGTGTTGAAAGTTCTGGCTAGGGCAATTAGGCAGGAGAAGGAAATAAAGGGTATTCAATTAGGAAAAGAGGAAGTCAAATTGTCCCTGTTTGCAGATGACATGATTGTATATCTAGAAAACCCCATTGTCTCAGCCTAAAATCTCCTTAAGCTGATAAGCAACTTCAGCAAAGTCTCAGGACACAAAATCAATGTGCAAAAATCACAAGCATTCTTATACACCAATAACAAACAGAGAGCCAAATCATGAGTGAACTCCCATTCACAATTGCTTCAAAGAGAATAAAATACCTAGGAATCCAACTTACAAGGGACGTGAATGACCTCTTCAAGGAGAACTACAAACCACTGCTCAATGAAATAAAAGAGGACACAAACAAATGGAAGAACATTCCACGCTCATGGATAGGAAGAATCAGTATCGTGAAAATGGCCATACTGCCCAAGGTAATTTATAGATTCAATGCCATCCCCATCAAGCTACCAATGACTTTCTTCACAGAATTGGAAAAAACTACTTTAAAGTTCATATGGAACCAAAAAAGAGCCCGCATCGCCAAGTCAATCCTAAGCCAAAAGAACAAAGCTAGAGGCATCATGCTACCTGACTTCAAACTATACTACAAGGCTACAGTAACCAAAACAGCATGGTACTGGTACCAAAACAGAGATAGAGATCAATGGAACAGAACAGAGCCCTCAGAAATAATGCCGCATATCTACAACTATCTAACCTTTGGAAACCTGAGAAAAACAAGCAATGGGGAAAGGATTCCCTATTTCATAAATGGTGCTGGGAAAACTGGCTAGCCATATGTAGAAAGCTGGAACTGGATCCCTTCCTTACACCTTATACAAAAATTAATTCAAGACTGATTAAAGACTTAAACATTAGACCTAAAACCATAAAAACCCTAGAAGAAAACCTAGGCATTACCATTCAGGACATAGGCATGGGCAAGGACTTCATGTCTAAAACACCAAAAGCAAGGGCAACAAAAGCCAAAATTGACAAATGGGATCTAATTAAACTAAAGAGCTTCTGCACAGCAAAAGAAACTACCATCAGAGTGAACAGGCAATCTACAAAATGGGAGAAAATTTTCGCAACCTACTCATCTGACAAAGGGCTAATATCCAGAATCTACAATGAACTCAAACAAATTTACAAGAAAAAAACAACCCCATCAAAAAGTGGGCAAAGGACATGAACAGACACTTCTCAGAAGACATTTATGCAGCCAAAATCACATGAAAAAATTCTCACCATCACTGGCCATCAGAGAAATGCAAATCAAAACCACAATGAGATACCATCTCACACCAGTTAGAATGGCATCATTGAAAAGTCAGGAAACAACAGGTGCTACAGAGGATGTGGATAAATAGGAACACTTTTACACTGTTGGTGGGACTGTAAACTAGTTCAACCATTGTGGAAGTCAGTGTGGTGATTCCTCAGGGATCTAGAACTAGAAATACCATTTGACCCAGCAATCCCATTACAGGGTATATACCCAAAGGACTATAAATCATGCTGCTATAAAGACACATGCACATGTATGTTTATTGTGGCACTATTCACAATAGCAAAGACTTGGAACCAACCCAAATGTCCAACAATGATAGACTGGATTACGAAAATGTGGCACATATACACCATGGAATACTATGCAGCCATAAAAAATGATGAGTTCATGTCCTTTTTAGGGACATGGATGAAATTGGAAATCATCATTCTCAGTAAACTATTGCAAGGACAAAAAACCAAACACTGCATGTTCTCACTCATAGGTGGGAATTGAACACTGAGAACACATGGACACAGGAAGGGGAACATCACACTCTGGGGACTGTTGTGGGGTGGGGGGAGGGGGGAGGGATAGCATTAGGAGATATACCTAATGCTAAATGATGAGTTAATGGGTGCAGCACACCAACATGGCACATGTATACATATGTAACTAACCTGCACATTGTGCACATGTACCCTAAAACTTAAAGTATAATAATAATAAAAAAAATGGTGGAGTAGAGAAGTCCCAAAGTCCATCCCTCCACAAAAACTGGCAAAAATTTTGAAGATCGAGTTTTTTAAAACTTGAAACTAATCAAAAGCTTACAGCAACCAGGGAAATATTTAATAATAATTAAATAAAACCTTGAATCTCTGTAAAATAACTTTTTAACACTTTAACTTACTCAGGTTTTCCTCATTTCCCATCTTGGTGGTGGTTTTAAAGACAGCTGACATTCCAACTACAGGTACATAGTACAAGTGGGAGCAGCATGGACCTTATTCCCAAAGAACTGTGGCTTTGACCTGTCTGGTGCTTCCATGAAGTATTACATAAAAGGCTTGCCATTAGTTTGTTTAACTCAGAACTTTTTCACAGATGAGATGGCTACCCTGGAGGTATAGTTTGGAAACATTTAAAAGCAAATGTTTTTATTGCTGCCACCTGGGGAAAGGCATAATAGTTGGGGCAAACAATAGAGTAACCAAAAAGCTGAGAAAGAAAGGCTGGGGAAAGAGTTATTTTGGGGAATACCCTTTGAAAAGTACCCACATATTCCTGGTAATCTAGAAGGCCAACTGCATGCCCAGGACTGAGTGCATACTAAAAAAAAAAAAAAAACCTGAGAAAGACCCCAAGTTTTCTTCTCGGAGTGACTTTTAGGATCTGTGTAAGCAGGAACTGAGGACTAAGGAAGTTGTAAACTGTGTGTTGAAGGCATGCTCAACATATACGAAGCCCATTTACAAAGACTGGGAGGTTTTTGTTGTTGTTGTTGTTTGATTTGGGTTGATTCTAGGCATTTAAGGAAATCTCTGTTGAACTATTAGATGACTACTAAGTTCATGGGACAGAATTCAGTAGCTACATGTGACGAAGAATACAGACTTTACAAAATTTGTTTAGAAAAGTCACTAACTAAACAAAACAACTACAACAAGAAGTAACAAAAAACCCCAGAGAAGGTGGAAGATTCTGATTTCCAGAGATTTCACATTATACTTGTCAAAGTATCGGATATTCAACAAGTATAAATAAATAAGAACATATGGCCCATGGACAGGAGAAAAGGAAATTAATAGAAACTATTCCTGAGGAAGCTCAGACATTGGACTCACTAGACAAAGATTTTATATCAATTATTTTAAATATTCTCAAATAGCTAAAGGAAACAATTTGCAAATAAGGAAACCATGAGACTGATGTCTCACCAAATAGTGAATACCAGCAAAGATGTAGAAGTTATAAAAAGGAACCAAAGAGAAATTATGGTGTTGAAAAGCATAATAACTGAAATGAGAAATTCGCAAGAAGTGTTCAAATCAGATTTGAGCAGGCAAAAGAAAGAATTCATGAAACTGAAAATAGGTCAATTGAGATTATGCTGAAGATCAGGGAAAAAAAAGAATGAATAAAAATGAGCAGAGCCTCAGAAACCTGTGGGACTGTTATGCATAGTTGGAGTCCCAGAAGAGAGGAGAGAAGGGGACAGAAAGAATGCTTAAGGAAATAATGGTTTAAAACTTTTGAAATTTGACAAAAGGCATAAAGCTATACATCAAAGAAGCTCAACAAACTCTATGTAAGTTAACAGAGAGCCACACCAAGTTATAATTAAACTATTAAAAGCCAAAAATAATCTTAAAAGTAGCAAGAGTGAAGTGACTTATGTACAAGAGAGCCTCAATAAGTTAACAGCTAATTTTTCATCAGAAATCATGGAAGCCAGAGAGCAATGGGATGACATCTTCAAAGTAATTGAATAATCCACAAAGAATTTTGTATCTGGCCAAACTATCTTTCCAATATGAAGAAGAATTTAAGACATTCTCAGACAGACAAAAACTGAGCTTATCTCTAGTAGATCTTACCTACAAAAAATGACAAAGGGACTTCTTCAAGCTGAAATGAAGGGACATTAGACAATAACTTGAACCCAGACAAAGACATAAAAAAAGCACTCATCAAAGAACTACCTATTTTTGGTTTGTAACTCTTCTTTTTTTTCTAAAGTTTTAAAAGATAATAGCATAAACCAATAATTGTATATAAAAAAAGAAATCAATCTTAGTTTAAAACTCAAGTGTGCAAAGAATAGCACATAGTATTTTCTATAACACTAAATATTGGCTTTGCATTCCCATTCCTGTGGGCTGGAGGTAAATTTGTTATCTTTCAGGAAAGGCATCCACACTGATTAATGCTGAAAGTCCATTACCCAGTCTAGTCAAATTCATATATTGAGGACATTTGAAATATTCTGCCCACTCCCAGCACGTGCACGTGCACACACACACACACACACACACACACATCTTTCTTTAAATATATAGAAACGTTAAAGTGTCAATAACAATTTAAGTGTTAGTTTTTAAATGGTGGATTAAAAACTAATTTTCTCCCTTCTCTTAGAAACTCATCCTTCTTTAAGTCAAAAACCACAAGGAGAATGAAAAATAGACAAATAATTTGCAATGAAACTAGAGACATCAAATAGCTTGGACTACAATCTATGAGGAAGGACTGCCAAATATAGTGAAAGTCAAGCAGGAATGTGAGAAAGGATGCCTAGGGAAGCAGACCTTACATGAAGGGAGGTGGTACTTTTCCAAAGAAAGTACCCCATCCTGTTGGCCACAACCCACAAGCCCTGGTACAGAACAAAGAGAACAGGCAAGCAGGCTTAAGCTGGAGTAACCCATTTGTTATACAGATTTGAGATATGGGAAAGGTGAAGTTGAACAAGGACAAATATGCCATATTTTCAGAAAGCAGTCTGTTGCTGAGGTAGAATGGAGGAGAGAGACTCTGCATTGCAAACAACCCTGCAGTGTTGATCATGGGGAAAAAAGAACCCATGCAAACATTGTTTTATAAAGAAAATAGCCTCAAATATAACCCTGCCTCCATCCTCATACAAGTCTCTTGCAAATAGCTGATTCAGGAAGAACTCACCTCATTCAAAGGTGTTTAAAGAAATACAAAATAAATAGCATCTATAAAACAACAAAATGGGAGAAAATGTCCAAAGCAAAGCACAGAAAGTTATGGAGTTAGAAGATATGAAAAAGAAATTAATAGAAATAAAGACTGGAGTGAGAAGCGTCAACATCTGTCTGATAGGAATTTCAGAAAAAGAGGCTACAGAGAATGGTTGAAAGGCAACATTCAAAGAGAAGATGGCCGTATTAGGTCCAGACAGGCAAGACCCAGGTTTGGGGAGATCAGGCATCAGCAATAGGGAACACAGGCTATGTGAGAAACTATGGAGCAAAGGGCTACAGACTCAATCAAAAGCATTTTCACAACAAAAGTGAGAATGTAGACATGGAATGAGGGCAATATAAATAGTTATTAATGAGAATGGAATTTGATCATGAGGCAAAGAATGTTTAGCCATGTTCCCCTGGCTAGAATAAATCTGAATATAAGGGAAACTAAGCCCATAAGGAGAGGTAAATGTAAACTTCTAACGAGGAATGGGCAGGGTTAGGAATGAGGAACAGAGCAGTTCTGGATACTCCAATTCTCAAGTGGATATATAGCAGATGGAAATTGCTCTGGCCTTCAGGATAGAGTTCTTTGAATTCCCTGATTTCACCAGTGACTTGAGTGTCAGAGCAAGTTCGTACTCCTCTGAGCTCCAGTTTTCCTCTCAAGAACAGAAGAGTAACCTCTGGACAAACTCTCAGGGATTTTGCCTCAGAATACATCTTCTGTCTATATTTAAGTTTTTTATCCTTCAGAGGAAGATGATATGCAAGTTGAAAAGTAGAAGCTAGGGACTTCTAGTTGCACTTTGTCCTGGTCCCATAAATGTAGTGGAGGTCCAGATGTGAGCAGCTCTTGGGCAGAGCCTCTATGTTATTCATTTCTATGACCCAGGAAGTATGGGCATAGAAACAAAGCTGCCATCACTGAATGTTTATTTACACCATTAGACCTTTAGGCACTGAGATTGAAGCCACTTCTGGTGGCCACTTCTGGTGGCTATTCATCAAATAGTAGCCCACCCTGGAAGGCATTATATAGCATTCTGCAAAGCAGGATATTATTCAGTATAAAAATTCTGGCTCTGGGCTGGGCGTGGTGGCTCATGCCTGTAATCTCAGCACTTTGGGAGGCCAAGGTGAGTGGATCACTTGAGGTCAGGAGTTCGAGACCAGCCTGGCCAACATGGTGAAACTCTGTCTCCACTAAAAATACAAAAAATTAGCCAGGCATGGTGACGCATGCCTGTAATCCCAGCTACTCGGGAGTCTGAGACAGAAGACTCGCTTGAACCTGGGAGGCAGAGGTTGCAGTGAGCCAAGATCATGCCATTACACTCCAGCCTGGGCGACAGAGTGAGACTTTGTCTCAAAAAAAAAAAAAAAAAAAAAAAAATTCTGGCTCCGGAGTCAAATGGCTTCAGTTTAGTATTATTAATTTTTTGAGATAGGGTCTTACTTTGTCGCCCAGGCTAGAGTGCAGTGGCATGATCTAGGCTCACTGCAGCCTTAACAGTCCAGGTTCAAGCGATTCTCCAGCCTCAGCCTTCCGAGTAGCCGGGATTACAGGCACGTGACACCACACCCAGTTTTTGTTTTTGTTTTTGTTTTTTCCGGTAGAGACAGGGTTTCACCATGTTGCTCACGCTGGTCTCAAATTCCTGGGCTCAAGCGATCAAGCTTTGCCTTGGCCTCCCAAAGTGCTGGGATTACAGGCGTGAGCCATCATGCTTGGCCTACAGCTTCCATTTTTTCAAAAATTGAGGTAAAATTCATACAACATAAAATTAATCTTTTAAGATGTACAATTCAGTGGCATTTAGTGCGTTCACAATGGTGTATAATAATCACCTCTATCTAGTTTCAAAACATTTTCGTCCTCCCAAAAGGAAACCCCATGACCAGTCACTTCCAGTGATATGAGCAGTCACTCCCCATATCTCCTTCTCTCCAGCCCTGGCAACCAATGATCTGCTGTCTCTATAGACTTACCTATTCTGTATATTTGATATAAATGGAATCGTGTAATATGTGACCTTTTGTGTCTGGGTTTTTTCACTTAGCATAATGTTTTTGAGGTTCATCCATGTTGTAGCATGTATGAATACTTTATTCCCTTTTCTGACTGAATAATCTTCCATTGTATGAATATGGCACACTTTTCCATTCATTAGTTAATGTGCATTTGGATTGCTTCCACCTGTGCCTATTGTGAATAGTGCTGCTATTAACATTTAGGTACAAGTTTTTGTTTGACTATCTGTTTTCAGTTCTTTTGGGTATATTCCTAGAAGTGGAATTGGTAGGTCTGTCTTATGGTAGTTTTTTGTTTAATTTTTTGAGGAACTGCCAAACTGATTTCCACAGTGGTTGCACCAATTTATATTCTCAATTAACAATGTACAAGAGTCCATTTCTCTGTATCACCAATACTTATTGTTTTCCATTAAAAAATTACGGCAATACAAGTGAGTGTGAAGTGGTATTTCACTGTGGCTTCGATTTGAATTTTCCTAATGACTAGTAATACTAAGTATCTTTCCATGTGCTTGTTGGTCATTTGTTTATCTTCTTTGCATAATTGTCTATTCAAGTCCTTTGTCCATTTTAAAAATTGGGTTGTTTATTTTTTGCTATTGAGTTGTAAGAGTTCTTTATTCTGGATAATAGACCTTATCTGGTATAGGATTTGCAAATATTTTCTTCCATTCTGTGAGTTGTCTTTTCACTCTTTTGCAAAAAGAAAACTAAAAATAGTTTGTTTTTTGTGATGTCTTTATCTGTCTTTAGGACCAAGATAAGCTATCCTCACAGAATGAATTAGGAAGTGTTCCCTCTTGTTTTTTTGGAAGAGTTTGAGAAGGATTGATATTAATTCTTTAAATAGTGGGCAGGATTACCAGTGAAACCGTCTGGTCCTGGGCTTTTCTTTGTTGGGAGGATTTTGATTACTGATCTACTCTCTTTACTTTTGTAGGTCTGTTCAGATTTTCTGTTTCTTCTTGAGTCAGTTTTGGTAGTTGGTGTGCTTCTGGAAATTTTCCATCTCATCTGGGTTGTTCATTTGTTGGCATACAATTGTTCATAGTTTCTTATAATCCTTTTTTATTTCTGTAAGATCTGTACTAATTTACCCACTTTCATTTCTGATTTTAGTAATTTAAATCTTCTCTCTTTTTTTCTTCATCAGTCTACTTAATGGTTTCTAAATTTTGTGGATTTTCCCTCCAAAGAATCGCATTTTTATTTCATTAATTTTTCTTTTTTTTTTTTTTTTTTTTTTTTTTTTTTGAGACGGAGTCTCACTCTGTTACCCAGGCTGGAGTGCAGTGGCGCGATCTTGGCTCACTGCAAGCTCTGCCTCCTGGGTTAACTCCATTCTCCTGCCTCAGCCTCCCGAGTAGCTGGGACTACAGGCGCCTGCCACCACGCCTGGCTGATTTTTTATCTTTTTAGTAGATTGTTTTTCTATTTTCTATTTTGTTTCTTTTCTTTTGCCTTTTTTTTTTTTTTTTTTTTTTTGAGACATGGCCTCACTCTGCTGCCCAGGCTACAGTGCAGTGGAACAATCATGGCCCACTGCAGCCTGGACCTCCCAGGCTCACGTGATTCTCCCACCTCAGTCTCCCAAATAGCTGGAATTACAGGTGCATGCACCACACCTAACTTTTTTTTTTCTTTTTAGATGGAGTCTCGCTCTGTCGCCCAGGCTGGAGTACAATGGCACGATCTCAGCTCACTGCAACCTCCCCCTCCCAGGTTCAAGCAATTCTCCTGCCTCAGCCTCCCGAGTAGCTGGGATTACAGGTGCTCGCTACCACGCCCAGCTAATTTTTGTATTTTTAGTAGAGATGGGGTTTCACCACATTGGCCAGGCTGGTCTTGAACTCCTGACCTCAGGTGATCTGCCCACCTCGGCCTCCCAAAGTGCTAGGATTACAGGCATGAGCCACCACACCTGGCCTTTTAAAAAAATTATTATTTATAATTTTTAGTAGAGATGACATCTTACTGTGTTGCCCAGGCTGGTCTCAAACTCCTGGGTTCAAGTGATCCTTCTGCTTTGGCCTCCCAAAATGCTGGGATTACAGGCATGAGCCACCATGCTCTGCCTCTATTCTTTACTCTTTCCTTCTGCTATCTTTGGTTTAGCTTGTACCTCTCTTTCCAGTTCTAGGGAAAATTTTGGCTATTGATTTGTGGTCTTTCTTTTTTGATGTAGGTGTTTATAGCTATAACTTTCCTTGTTAGCACTATTTTCATTGTATCCCATAAGTTTTGACATGCTGTGTGTTTTTGTTTATTTGTTTTTGAGACAGGGTTTTGTTTTGTCACCCATGCTGGAGTGTGTAGATGTGATCTTGACTCACTGCAACCTCCACTTCCTGGGTTCAGGTGATCCACCTACTTCAGCCTTCCCAGTAGCTGGGACCACGGACATGTTCCATTATGGCCAATTTTTTTTTTTTCTTTTTGTATTTTTGGTAGAGACAGGGTTTCACTAGGTTGCCCAGGCTGGTCTCAAGCTCCTGAGCTCAAGTGATTGGCCTGCCTCAGCCTCCCAAAGTGCTGGGATTAGAGGTGTGAGCCACTGTGCACAGCCTGTATTTTTGTTTTTACTCATCTCAAAGTATTTTCTAATATTACTTATAATTTCTTCTTTGACCAATTAGTTAAGAGTGTGTTGTTTAATTTTCACATATTTATGAATTTTCCAGTTTTTCTTCTGTTATTGATTTCTAGTTTCATTCCATTGTAGTCAGAGATATTTTGTACGATTTTTTAGAACTATTTCTATCTTCACATCTGTCTCTTTTTGCTACACGTATTTTGAGGCTCTGTTGTTGGGTGTGTATATGTTTATAATTGTTTTATCTTCTTGATTGATTGACCTTTATATCATATCCTTGATAATATCCTTCTTTGTATTCTTGTAACAAGTTTAACAATTTTTATCTTAAAGTCTATTTTACTTGATATTAGTAGAGCTACTCCATCTTTTTTGGGTAACTATTTGTATGGATTGTCTTTCCAACTTTTTACTTTCAACTTGTTTGTGTATTTGGTTCTAAGGTGAGTCTCCTGTAGACAGCCTATAGTTGGGTCATATTATTTTTATCCATTTTCCTAATCTGTGCCTTTTAATCAGAAGTTAATCTATTTCGTCTAAAGTAATTACTGATAAAGACTTACCTATGCCATTTTGTTATTTTCTATATGTGCTTTTTTGTTTCTAAATTCCTTCATTACTTCCCTTTTTTGTGATTAACTGATTTTTTTCTAGCATAACATTTTGATTCTTCTCTTTTCTTTTTCTTTATATTGCTTAGTAGTTTTTTCTTTAGTAGTTACCCAGGGGGTTATAATTAGTCAACTTTATAACGATCTAGGGTGAATTAATGCCAACTTAGTTTTAATAGTACAAAGCAAAAAATTTTACTATAAAAACTCTGCTCCTTTTCAGCTCTGTTTTCTCCTTTTTGTTGTTATTATCACCAATTATCTCTTTATACATTGCATATCCATTAACACACATAACTATTGTTTTGTGCATTTGTCTTTTATATTGAATAGGGGAAAAAGAGGAGTTAGAAACCAAAAACTGCAATATTGGACTTTACCTATGTAGCTACTTTTTCACTGGTCTCTACTTCTTTATATGGCTTGGAGATACTTCCTAGTTTCCTTTCATTTCAACATGTAGGACTCCTTTTAGCATTTCTTCTAGAGCAGATCTACTAGCATTTTTTGTAGATTAAGACTACTAGACAACTCCTTCAGTTTTTGTTTATCTGGGAATGTCTTAATTCCTCTTTTCATGAATATATAATTCTTTATTTTTAAAAAATTTTAATTAAAAAAAAGTAGAAACAGGGTCTTGCCATGTTGTTCCTGGGCTCAAATGATCTGCCCACCTTGGCCTCCCAAAGTGTTGGGATTACAGGTGTGAGCTACTGTGCCTGGCTGGATACAGAACTCTTAGTTAACAGTTTTTTTCTTTCGGCAGTTCAGATATGTCATCTCTCTCCTTCTTGGCTTTCATATTTTCTGAAAAGAAATCAGCTAGTAATCTTACTGAGAATCCCTTGTATGTGAAGAGTCATTTCTCTCTTGCTGCTTTCAAGATTCCTTCCTTGTCATTGGACACTTCAATTATAATGTGTCTCATTGTGGATCTCTTTGAATTTATCCTGCTTGGAGTTTGTTGAGCTTCTTGGATGTAAAATTTCATCATATTTTGGAAGTTTTCAGCCATTACTTTTTCAAAAATTTTTTTTTTTGAGACAGAGTTTCACTCTTGTTGCCCAAGCTGGGGTGCAGTGGAGTGATCTCAGCTTACTATAACCTCCACCTCCCAGGTCAAGCAATTCTCCTGTCTCAACCTCCCAAGTAGCAGGGATTACCAGTGCCTGCCGCCATGACCAGCTAATTTTTTGTATTTTTAGTAGAGACAGGGTTTCACCATGTTGGCCAGGCTGGTCTCTAACTCCTGACCTCAGGTGGTCCACCTGCCTCGGCACCCCAAAGTATTGGGATTACAGGCTTGAGCCGCAGTGCCCGGCTGCTTCAAACATTCTTTCTGCATTTTTCTCCTTTCTTTCTGAAATTCTTATTATGTCTGTTTGATAGTGTCTTGTGGATCTCTTAGGCTCAGTTCATTGTTGGTCATTCCTTTTTTTTTTTTTTTTTCTGAGATGGAGTGTCATTGTTGTTGCCCAGGCTAGAGTGCAATGGCGTGGTCTTGGCTTACTGCAACCTCTGCCTCCTGGGTTCAAGCAATTCTTCTGCCTCAGCCTCCCAAGTAGCTAGGATTACAGGCGCCTGCCACCACACCCAGCTAATTTTTGTATTTTTAGTAGAGATTTTTAGTAGAGATGGCTAACCATCCTGTGTTAGCCAGGATGGTCTAAATCTCCTGACCTCGTGATCTGCCCGCCTTGGCCTCCCAAAATGCTGGGATTACAGGCATGAGCCACTGCGCCTGGCCTGAAATGTGTTTTTTTAAAAAGGAGTGAAGGGGACCCTGGATGGTTGACGATATCACACTACTGACTAAGGAATCTGATTGATTTTCCAATTCTTTGTATATAATTTCTAGAAAACAAAAATAAAATAAAGGTAATAACTAGTAGAGCAGAAGTTGAAAAATAAAACTTTCAAAAGACACTTGGGGAAAGTGGGTAAAGAGAGAGATGTACAACAAAGTACATTTCTTTGATTTAGTACTGTTTCTTCCTCTGCCTTGATTCTTTATTAAAGTTTAAATAGCATCATACGCTATAATTTCAGAAAACACTCAAGTTACTGGTTCACTTTCAAAGGAGAGATTATGTGCTTTTACTTTAGTTGTACCAATTTTCAGCTCCTTTAGGAATGGCGCCATCATCCTGGAGTGTTAAAATGGGCAACAAGAAAGATAAACTCATTTTAGCTGTTCTTTTCTAAAGGTATCCACCAACCCCTCCTCCAACATCAATCCAGGCGACTATGTTGAAATGAATGATTCAATCACCCACCTACCCTCTAAAGTGGTGATACAAGATATTACTATGGAGCTACACTGCCCTCTGTGCAATGATTGGTTCCGAGACCCACTGATGCTAAGCTGTGGCCACAACTTCTGTGAAGCCTGTATCCAAGACTTTTGGAGGCTGCAAGCAAAGGAAACATTCTGTCCTGAGTGTAAGATGCTATGTCAGTATAACAACTGTACATTCAACCCTGTACTGGACAAGTTGGTAGAGAAGATTAAGAAGTTACCCTTACTCAAGGGCCATCCACAGTGCCCAGAGCATGGAGAGAACCTGAAACTGTTCAGTAAACCAGATGGGAAACTGATCTGCTTTCAATGCAAGGATGCTCGGTTGTCTGTGGGGCAGTCTAAGGAGTTCCTGCAAATCTCTGATGCTGTCCATTTCTTCACGGTGGGTGAGCCCTGGGCCTTGAACAATCCCTTAGAAAAACTAGGAAAAATATTTCATAGGGCTTCTTCTTTCTTCCAACCCCATCCCTTTATTCAAATGATGATTAGAAAGCCCAGACTGCTCAGAAAGTACAACGTATCTTGCAAAGTTCTTTTTCTAGAGTTGCTGCTTATAGGAAAGGAACAGTGGAGGAGCCCTGGCTTACTCCCTCAATCAAATCTGTACCTAAACTCTGCCATGGTAGCACTCTGCTAAACACTGTGTAGAATATGGATAGATAAGATATTGCTCTTGTTATAAAAAATTCAAAATTTGGTTAAGTTTAAAATGAAGAAAACAACAGAAGCAATATTAAGATAGCCTCGTGTTAAAAGTTAAATTTTGTCACATTTGTAATTCTTAAGGGTTTAGAATTTCTGAGACTATTAGAGAAAAATGAAATAGGGGACATATAGTGAAAGAAAGGGAAAGGACTTGAACTGGGAAATCATTTGGATTTTGAAGGGCAGAAGGAAGAAACAAATGTTCCAAGTGAGAACAACACAAGTAAAATGATAGATGCTGAGAACAGTATATAACTAGAGTGGAAAATGTGTAGAGTTCTATTCCCTTCTTCAAATCCCTGTAGCTAGCTACTAAGAGAGAAAAACTAAGTTTTAAGCTGTAATTTACTCCATAATTCTTTTTTTTTCTTTGTTTTGAGATGGGTCTCACTATGTTGCCCAGGCTGGTCTCAAACTCCTGGGCCCAAGTGATCCTCCCATCTCAGTCTCCCAAAGTGCTGAGATTACAGATGTGAGCTGCCACACCCGGCCTTTTCTTTTCTTTTTCACAATTCTTGAACGAGACAAGAACTATGATACAGGGGAAGGGGAAGATTTTTGCAGCAAGAGCTTGCTTTTTTCTTGCACACTGGGGCCTTGGGGAAGATGTCCTTTATGGTCCTTCATCTCCCGAGTTAGTCTGGGTTAATTCTATTTGATATTCCCAGGAGGAGCTTGCCATCCAACAGGGTCAACTGGAGACAACTCTGAAGGAGCTTCAGACCCTGAGGAACATGCAGAAGGAAGCTATTGCTGCTCACAAGGTGAGGAGCAAGAAAGAGGGGTTATGAGATAGAACTGGAACACACCCTCCATGTAACTTCAGCTATGGGTACAAAGGTGCCTAACATATATTATCAACACACTAAATGGTACCTAGGCTATGGAATTGGAAAACTGAGTCTGTAGGGTGGAAAGGAATATGGTGGTGGAGTAGGTTCCTAATAGCTGATCAACAGAGCAGATTAACCTTTCCCCTAATATGCTGATCTTTTCGATAGTTCAGTCACCAGGTGACTGTCGTGGCGTTGAAATGTGTCTGGTCTTTGGCTTTATCTATGGCAAAAAAAAAAAAGGAACTTATTAGAAAAAAATCAATCACTAAAGATTGCTATGTCCAAAGAAATACCTTTATTTCCTTTGAGTTTATAACCAGACACCTCTGGACTAGGTCTCTAAGGTCATAGGCTTTTCCCAGCTGATTTGATCTTCTTAGCTTCCTCCAAGCTAAATAAAGCTATTGTCTGCACTTTCAACTTCATAGGCACTCTAGGACAACATTAATGGCTAGAGCTTTGGCAAATCAGTCCCTAGATTGGGGGTGCTAAATTGGAAGTTCTGTTTCTTTATTCATTATTCTATGGAGAAGAGCCTTCTCAGGTATTTGGCATCTGGAAGAAAAAAATATGCAGACTCAGGGAAAGAAGAAGGATATATGGAAGTAATGATGTCTTCAGAAAATCTTGTTCCTTTTGTAAAAGTTCCTATTAGTGTGAGCATTCATCCATTCATTTAACAAATATTTATTGAGTGGGTCAGGCATAATACTAGATATTGGGGATGGGAGACAGCTGTTAATTAAATAATCCCATGAGTAATAATAAAATAACAACTGTGATAAGTACTATAACTGAAAGTATAGGGTATGATGATAGCATATAAATGGAGAACATAATCTAGACTGGGGGAGGGGTGTTCTCTGAAGAAGTCACATTAAAAATTGAGAATTGAAGGATAAGTAACTTATCCAAGTGAACTGGGTGAGTGGGGATATGAAGGAGGTAGCCTGGAGAAGAATGTTCTAGGAATAGAAAAGAGTATCTGGAAAAGTCCTGAGATGGAAAGTTAGCTGCTATGTTAAACAGAGAAAAGGCCAATAAAGCTGGAACATGCTAAGCAAGATGATATTGATGAGGTGGATATGGGCTCACTGTAACCTCATACTCTTGGGCTCAAGAGATCTTCCCACCTCAGCCTCCTGAGTATCTGGGACTAGTTTGCCACACATGGCTAATTATTTTATTTTTGGAGAGACTGGGTCTCACTATGTTGCCCAGTCTTGAACTCCTGTTCCAAGCAATCCTCCCAGCTTGGCCTCTATAAGTGTTGGAATTACAGGTATGAGCCACTGTGCCCAGCCAAGACTATCTTAAGGTGCAATAATAATTATGGACCATGGGATCCAAGCTAGATAAGAGAGGACATGAAGGTAGAAGTTCCTGAATAGAAATGGAGGGATCGGTGAATAGGAGGTTTCAATGAGATCCAATAATTGTTGCAATAGGAGTATCTGAGTGAGCCTGGTGCATAAAAAGTTATTTTGGAGATGATACAATTGCTGGGGGTGATAAAATCCTAGGTGAGACTATAGGAATGAATCAATAAATGTGGAAATCACTAGAAATGAGGAGAATGAGGAACTGAGAAGCCAGGATGTCAAATAGTTTAACTGTGAGGATGTTGAGGTAACCCAAGGAAAAAGCTGCAAGTGTAACAGTGGCATTCCCCCAGTTCTGATTTCTAGGTAAGGACAGTTCTTCCAGCCTCCCAATACCCCCAGTCTAACAGTACCACTTGGCAGCTTTTGGATTACCAATCTAGGAGGGTATTATCTTTCATTCTAGAATGTTTGACTAACTCCACAGTCTTATTTAATATGGCATTGGTTACCATCTCAGTACTGCAATAGGAAACTGGAGGTCACTTTTGCCTATTTCATCCTGAACTATTAAATTAGTTGGAAAAGGAGTAAGTCTCCCAAAGGACTCATTTTAGTATGACTGAATTTGATATTCAGTAGCCATTTGTATGCATTTTTCTGTGATGGTATTTACCAAGTGTGTGAGTGTTGGTGGTGTGGGCCCCCATCCCCAAGCACTAGTCTCTGCAATAACCATGGTGATAATCATGGAGGTTTCCAGGAAAACAAGCTACATCTGCAGCAACATGTGTCCATGGAGTTTCTAAAGCTGCATCAGTTCCTGCACAGCAAAGAAAAGGACATTTTAACTGAGCTCCGGGAAGAGGGGAAAGCCTTGAATGAGGAGATGGAGTTGAATCTGAGCCAGCTTCAGGAGCAATGTCTCTTAGCCAAGGATATGTTGGTGAGCATTCAGGCAAAGACGGAACAACAGAACTCCTTCGACTTTCTCAAAGTGAGAATCCACACCAATATGATTATGGGTACCTTCCTACCTAGAGGGGGGAAGAGGTTTGGAAAGAATGCGGAAGTGGCTTTTCACATCCAGGGAAAACAAAACAAAACAAAACAAAACTGTTATAGTGCTTTTAAGATTCTCTGGAAGAAAAGGAGGAGGCTGCTTCAGCTATACGCACAGCAGAAAGCTTTACTTTCATCCTCTTAGGAAATATGATTTTTAAATTCCATTAATAATAGTATATAGTAATGGTTTAATATTTTTCCATAAAGAGCTTGATGCTTTATTTCTCAAAAATAAAAATGTTGCAGCCTGAGTTGTATCTTTGGCTCTCAGCAATCATAAGCTGACCTGTCTGAAAAGCTGTTTTCTAACCTTTGCTTTCTTAAGCTTCACCTCTAAAGAAGCGTTGGTTACCATCTCAGCACTCAGAAGTTTAATTAGCTAGAGTAAGGAAAAGTGGCCTTGGGACTGGGATACCTAATGTGTTTTTCTTCTGAGACTATTTGAAAGTATAGGTAAAGATAGCTTAACCTTAAGTATTGTCTTATTGGCTTCTGTCTTGCTCCCTGTAGAAGAGAACTCTAGAAAGAGCAAAAGATCAATTTAACCTGGGTTAGGATCAGGGATGAAGATTAGAAAAAGTGTATGAAGGATGAAAGAAGTTGGTAGAGATGAGTTCGGGACCATCTGCACAAATTCTGGTGGTGGCTGGTATCACCAAAGAAATTTTGAGAGTTGATGAACGGGCATCTGATGTCTCTCTTTCTCCTTTCTTCTAGGACATCACAACTCTCTTACATAGGTAAGTGTTTCCCTATGGTACTATTAATATCATTCCTTGAGTCTCTGGAGGATGTCTAAGGATAAATGATTTATGTGCCCTGCAGCTTGGAGCAAGGAATGAAGGTGCTGGCAACCAGAGAGCTTATTTCCAGAAAGCTGAACCTGGGCCAGTACAAAGGTCCTATCCAGTACATGGTATGGAGGGAAATGCAGGACACTCTCTGCCCAGGTATCAGTGGGTAGTAACTATTGGTTCTTGAGGCTCCTAATCTACGTTTAATCTGTGGGACTTCTTCTGTGGCCCTAATTAAGTTTTTACAGTCTGGGATAGGGAAGGGGTACAGTTTGGCCAAAAGGAGGCTAGTTGGTATGACTGAATTTCTTCTAGTACCATGACCTAAGAATTTATGACTTTGTGCTGGTAAATAGATATGAGTTTGATATCAGGATTACTTCTTAGCATATGATTTTGACTGATTTATGAAATGTGGCAACAGCCAAAATTTTATCTTGTTTTGCTAAATCAGCTATATGAATCCCAGGGGCTTCTCTGAAGAAGGAGGAGGTTTCTGAACATACTCTTTTTATGTACACTGGGTCTTTACAGTTTCTTTTGTGCTTGATGTTCATAGCGTAGAACATTTTAGAAGATTGTTTAGATCTTCAGTGCTTCAGAAGAAAACCAATAATTTAAATAAACATACCTAAGAAGGACACTAAGTTTTTGTGTTCCTGTAGATACCAAAGGACTGAGCAAGATAAAATAACACACATGGCATTTCAAGAACATCAAATAAAGTTCTAAATAAAAATCTTTATAGAAATAAAATTCTAAATAGAGTTTTTATAGAATTCATAGACTCATCATTATTATTATTGTTTATGGTTATTGATTTAATGAGAAATCACAAATATATCCCTGATTTAATGAAAAATCGCAAATTTTTCCAGGTAATTGACATTGAAGAAAAATCAACTATACTGAGATATAGTTAACATAGAGTAAAATTATCCAATTTTAAGGGCACAATTTGATGAGTTCTGATGTATATATACACTTAGGTAAACCTCTCCATAATCAAAATATAGAAGATTTTTATCACTCCAAAAAGTTCCTACATGCCCCTTTGAAATCAATCTCTTCCTTCTACTCTCAGCCTCTAACATTCACTGACATGTTTTATTTCACTTTAAATGTGTCTTTTCTAAATTTTTGTCTAAGTGATAGCATACATTATGTAGTGTTTTGTGTCTTCTGGTTTTTTTCACTTAGCATAATTTTTTTTTTTTTTGAGATGGAGTCTCGCTCTGTTGCCCAGGCTGGAGTGCAGTGGTGCCATCTCTGCTCACTGCAAGCTCTGCCTCCAGGGTTCATGCCATTCTCCTGCCTCAGCCTCCCGAGTAGCTGGGACTACAGGCGCCTGCCACCATGCCCGGCTAATTTTTTTATATTTTCAGTAGAGACGGGGTTTCACCCTGTTAGCCAGGATGGTCTCGATCTCCTGACCTCGTGATCTGCCCGCCTCAGCCTCCCAAAGTGCTGGGATTACAGGTGTGAGCCACTGCGCCAGGCCGCATAATGCTTTTTGAGCACTTATGTTGTTCCATGTATCAATAATCATGATTATTTATTCAGTTTACTTATTCATTTCCCAGTTGATGGACATGGGGTAGTCCATGGTAGTTTTATCCATCCTGCAATTAGTGAAAATCCCAGTTTCTCTATATCCTTTCCAAAACTTGATATTGTCAATCTTTTTAATTTAAACCATTTTATTGAATGTATAGTAGTATCTTATTGTGGTTTTAATTTGTATATCTCTTGTTTTGGTGGGAGGGTGGGACAGAGTCTCACTCTGATGTCCAGGCTAGAGTACAGTGGTGCATCTCAACTCACTGCAACCTCTGCCTCCGAAGCTCAAGTGATTCTTGCGCCTCAGACTCCCCAGTAGCTGGAATTACAGGCGCGCACTGCCATGCCTAGCTAATTTTTGTATTTTTAGTAGAGATGAGGTTTTGCCATGTTGGCCAGGCTGATCTTGAACTCCTGGCCTTAAGTGATCCATCCACCTCAGCCTCCTAAAGTGTTGAAATTACAGGCATGAGCCGTGGTGCCCGGCTGCATATCCCTAATGAGCAATCCTGTTGAGCGTCCTTTCAGGTGCTTCCTTGCCATTCATATATTTTTTTGGTTGTGTTCAAACTTTTGTCTATATTTTTGTTAAATTGTTGTATTATTAAGTTGTAAAGGATACAAATCCTTTATCAGATATATGTTTCTTAAATATTTTTTCTCACTCCATGGCTTGCCTTTTCAATTTATTTTTATTTATTTATTTTTTTGAGATGGAGTCTCACTCTGTCACCCAGGCTGGAGTGTGGTGCGATCTCGGCTCACTGCAAGCTCCGCCTCCCAGGTTCACGCCATTCTCCTGCCTCAGCCTCCCAAATAGCTGGGACTACAGGTGCCCGCCACCACGCCCGGCTAATTTTTTTGCATTTTTAGTAGAGATGGGGTTTCACCATGTTAGCCAGGATGGTCTCGATCACCTGACCTCGTGATCTGCCCGCCTCGGCCTCCCAAAGTACTGGGATTACAGGCGTGAGCCACCGCACCTGGCCATCTCTGGCTAATTTTAGGACTTGCTTTTTGTCACTTGCTTCCATCAATTTGATTATACGTGGTCTTGGTGTGATTTTCTTTGTATTTATTCTGCTTGTGCGTCATTGAGCTGCTTGGATCTAAGGGTTTATAATTTTCATCAAATTTTGAATAATATCAGCTGGTATTTCTTCAAATACTTTTTTACCAACCCCTTTTCTCCTCTCCTTCTTGGAGTCTAATTTTACATATTTTAGACAACTTGATATTGTCAAGTTGTCTCATGTCATCGATATTCAGTACTTTTTTAGCCTTTTTTCACCTCACACTTTATTTTAAATGGTTTCTATTGTTATTCAAGTTCTCATCTTTTCTTCTGCATGGTCTAACCTTCTGTTAATATTGTTCAAGATATTTTCATTTTATATACATTTCATTTCTAGAAGTTTCATTTGGGTCTTTTTATATCTTTCTTATCTCTTCTCACCATGTTCATGCCTTCCTCTACATTCTTGAAAAAATGGAAGACATTTATCCATTTTAATATCCTTGTCTGCTAATTCTATCATCATTGTCATTTCTGGGCCTGATTTTATTGTTTGATTGTTCTCCTGAGAGTCATATTTTCCTGCTGCTTTGTATGGCTAGTAATCTTTTTCTTTTTAATGGGCTTTATTTTTTAGGACACTTTTAGATTTTTTAATTTTACAGAAAAACTGAGAAGATAGTATAGAGTTTTTTATATGCCCCATCCTCACTTTTCTCTATTATTAACATCTTAGATTTAACATTTTTAACAACTAATGAACCAAATTGATACATTATTAACTGAAATCCATAGTTCCTTTAGATTTTCTTAGTTTTTACCTAATGTCATTTTTCTGTTTTAGGTTTCCATCTAAGGTGCCACATTACACTAAGTTGTCATTTTCTTTAGGTGCCCCTTGGCTGTGACAGTTTCTCAGGCTTGCCTTATTTTTTATGACTTAGATAGTTTTGAGGAGTACTGGTCATATATTTTGTAAGGATGCTGCACTATTGCAATTTGTTTGATGTTTTCCTCATAAAATTTGGGTTATTAATTGGGAGAGGAAGACAGTAGCATTAAAGTGTCATTGTCATCACATCACATTAAGTGTTCATACCGTCAACATGATTTATGACTATTGATGTTGACTTTAATCACCTGGCTGAGGAAGTGTCTGTCAGGTTTCTCCACTGTACTCTTTTTCCCTCCTTCTATACTTGTATACTTTGGAAGGCAGTCATTGTGCACAGCCCACGCTTAAGGAGGGGATAGTTATGCTCCCTCTCCCTGAGGGTAGTGTATTAATGTAAATTATTTGAAATTTTGCTGCCCTGGAGATTTGTCTCTTCTGGTTGGTAATTTTTTACTGGATGCCAAATATGATGAATTTCATATTGTTTGTACTGATGAATTCATATTGGTGAATTTTGTATTTGCTGGATTTTGTTGTAGTTCTTTCAGTTCTATTGAATTTAACTCTGGCATGCAGTTAACATGGTATGACATCATTTTGTTCCTTCTGAGGCTTAAATAAAGCCTAGTTAGAGTGGCTCAAGAGCAGCCTTTAATCTAGGGCTAACTTAGCCCATTTTCTAAAGTAATATACCCTTCTGATTACCCTACCTGACGTTGACATATTACGACATTTTTCCATTCTGGTTGGCAAGATTGAAAATTATTCCCAGCCTTGTGTGAGCTCCAGAAATTGTTCAGTCTATTGATTTCTGGAGGTTCTTTCTCTGGCCTTGACGAGTTTCACTGCATGCATGTGCAGATTAGTACTCAGCCACAGCCTTGAGAGAATCCCTTTGTAGATGTTTGTAAGTTTCTGTGAAGTTCCCTCCTCTGTGTTACTCTGCTTAGCAAATTGTAGCTGCCTTGGTATGACAGAGTTTTTCTTCCTGTATACTTTGCTCTGTAAAGCCAAACTTCACTTCTAGCAATCTTTTAAAATGCAAACTGATTTTTAAATTTTTGGTATAATTTTACATCAAGAAAACCAAATGAGATTTATTTAATATATGACTATTTATTAATAATGTATTATTTATCCATATACTCTCCCTCTATACAGAGTGGGAAATTGTTTTTCTATGGTAACTGTGGTCAGACCTTTGTAAAATACATTCCATACTTTTTATTTCTAAGTCTTTGCTTATTTTGTAGATCCATATATTCTCCTTTTCTGCCAGCCTTATAAATTAGGCTGTTGCTTTAGAGCAGGAGCTGGCACTTTTCTGTAAAGGTTTGAAGAGTAAAATATTTTAGGCCTTGCAGGTGTATGGTCTTTGTTGCTGCTACTTAACTCTGCTCTTGTAGTGAAAAAGAAGCTACAGACAACATATAAATGAATGGTCATAAATGTGCTCCAATAAAACTTTACTTACAAAGTAGGCAGTGGGTCAGATTTGACCTGTTGGTTGTAGTTTGCCTACTCTAGCTTAGGGAATTTTTCAATTTAAAATATTTGCATGAACAAATGCCCAAATAATGTGGAGTGAACCATATGGGGAAAAAGCATTCTAGGACAAGGGAAGAAATTATAAGGACCCTGAAGTAGGAATGATCTTCATTATGTTCAAGGAACTGCCAAAAGACAAGGGTGGATGAATCAAAGTAAATGAGGGAAAGTGTGGTAGGAGATGAAGTAGAGAGGTAGGTAAATCATGTGGCTCTTTTTTCCTCTATAAGGACTCTGGATTTTATCTCAGATGTGACGGTAAACATAAGAGTATGCTGAGCAGGGAAATGGCTTGATCTCATTCATGATATGTGTAGAATAGGGTGCAGATGGGCAAGAGAGGAAACAGAAGAGTAAAAAGCTATTGCAGTAGTTCCAGGCCAGTGATATTTCTGGAAGTAGTCAGAAGTGTTTGGGCACAAGATATATTTTCAAGGTGGAGCTGACAGAACTTTTCGTTATATGAACATGGCATGAGAAGGAAAGAGAGGACAAAAAGCTGACTCATGGGAATCTTCAGAGCCAGTGCAGGCTGAACTAGCTAGAGATGTGTCAGAGGCTTAGCAAAGAGAGCAGAGTGGGATTCCAAAACGTTGCTAAAAAGTCTTTATGGTACCTCCAAAGAAAACCCAGTCCTCACATCAGAAAGATTAACAACCCAAAGTGAATGGGGATATGTAAGGGGATAGGGATTTAGCCTATATGGAAAAATTCAAGATTCTTAATTCTTCAAAGCCTCTTGTTGGAAAGAGAAGTCCCTGGGATAATGGAAAAGACTCAGGCTTTTCTGAGAAGATAGAGTTAGACTAGAGTTCATGACTAGCCTGGCCAACATGGTGAAATCCTGTCTCTACTAAAATTACAAAAAATATCAGCTGAGCGTGGTGTTGCATGCCTGTAATCCTAGCTACTCAGGAGGCTGAAGCAGAATTGCTTGAACCCAGGAGGCGGAGGTTGCAGTGAGCCGAGGTTGTGCCACTGCACTCCAGCCTGGGGGACAGAGCAAGAATCTATCTCAAAAAAAACAAAACAAAACAAACAAACAAACAAAAAACAGAGAGAGAGAAACTAGATTGATTCTGCTTCCAAGGATAAATAAATCCAATAACAACAAATGCATGCATACATGTATCTGTGTCCATGGTGTGCACACACATAGCTATTAGGTCTCCTTTATCAAATTTCATGTCAAGGTCCAATGATCTCACATCTGGAATTTGTGTCATCCTCTTGCTGGTCAGCTTTCAACCTCTCTTCATTTAGTTTAGATATTCTTTTTTATACTGCTGCCCTTTGAATTGTCTAAACCAATGCTTGTAAAATTATCTGTGATGAAGGGCCAATCAAAAAAATCTCAATCTGTCATGGACTGATACTTTTGTAGAATACAATATAAATTACTTGAAAAAGTAAAATTAAAAAAAGCAAAGATTACAAAGTACAAGCCCAATTTTGTAATTATTAGATTCAACTGACATAAAATTACTGTCAATTTGCTATGAAAGTTTTTAAAAGTTTACTGTTAATTTCTATACTATCTTTGTCCGAGACTGTTAACCACATGGTATGTGGACCACATTATGAGTAGCAATGACATAAACCACTCTAGATCTCAAAAATCTCATTATCTGTTAAACCAAAATAAACCTCTCACTATTGTCCTCTAAACTCTGTACCAGTTAGTTCAGTCTTGCCTGTGTCTAACAGGCAAGCTCTTGTGTTCTCTTCCACACAGGGGACTGTTTTTAATCCATTTCTTTCTTTCCGTTTATTCAAAACATCCTAAATACATCTCATGTATATACAACTGAATACTTACCTTCCTCAGAAAGCTTTCCTAGAACATCCTTACCTAATTTTTACCCCTTTGGCATTTGTATTTTCTTATATTTATTAGTATAGGTTTATATTATTTGTATTGTTTCCTTTAGTAGAGCATAAATTACTTCTGAGTAAACCCTGATTTTTACCCTAAATATAAAAATGTCTAGAATATAGTAACATGGATACCCAAACAATAAAAAGCATGTAAGTGGCCAGGTGCGGTGGCTCATGCCTGTAATCTCAGCACTTTGAGAGGCCCAGGCAGGTGGGTTGCTTGGGGCCAGGAGTTCAAGGCCAGTCTGGCCAACATGGCGAAACCCTGTCTCTACTAAAAAATTACAAAGATTAGCCAGGTGTGGTGGCACACACCTGTAATCCCAGCTATTTGGGGGGCTGAGGCACGAGAATTGCTTGAACCCAGGAAGCGGAGGTTGCAGTGAGCCGAGATCGCACCACTGCACTCCAGCCCTGGGCAACCTTGTCTGCCTCAAAAAAAAAAAAAAAAAAAAAAAAAAAGCATATAAGTAATTGCTTGCCTGTCTAAGAGTCTATGTGTATGGGGAGATAAAGTACTATTGAATATGAAATACTATCTTTTACTGTGGGAATTTGTGTTTACCCCCTTTTCTCCCATGCTCTGCTTTCTTTTATTTTCTTACTAGGCCTGTCTCCACTAACTCTGGACCCTAAAACAGCTCACCCAAATCTGGTGCTCTCCAAAAGCCAAACCAGCGTCTGGCATGGTGACATTAAGAAGATAATGCCTGATGATCCTGAGAGGTTTGACTCAAGTGTGGCTGTACTGGGCTCAAGAGGCTTCACCTCTGGAAAGTGGTACTGGGAAGTAGAAGTAGCAAAGAAGACAAAATGGACAGTTGGAGTTGTCAGAGAATCCATCATTCGGAAGGGCAGCTGTCCTCTAACTCCTGAGCAAGGATTCTGGCTTTTAAGACTAAGGAACCAAACTGATCTAAAGGCTCTGGATTTGCCTTCTTTCAGTCTGACACTGACTAACAACCTCGACAAGGTGGGCATATACCTGGATTATGAAGGAGGACAGTTGTCCTTCTACAATGCTAAAACCATGACTCACATTTACACCTTCAGTAACACTTTCATGGAGAAACTTTATCCCTACTTCTGCCCCTGCCTTAATGATGGTGGAGAGAATAAAGAACCATTGCACATCTTACATCCACAGTAATGAGTCATAATATTATACAAATTCAGAGTGTTATTAAAGAGGTATTGAAATATTTTACCAGTCTCACTGGATTCTCTTCTTAATTTTTGGGGAACTATGGAATAATGAAAAGAGGATGCGCAAATCAAATTCCATTCTTTCAGTATCCTAAATGGATTTCACTGGAGGCTTTCAAGGTATCATTCTTCTCTGGGGTCTTTTATGACACAGGAGCCACTCTCATGAGAGTGATCATCATGCTACTGTTACTGGAGCAAACTGCAACTTGAGTTTGTGATGTTTGGGAACCCTTTTCAAATATGCCCAGAAATGATCATGTTGTCATATTTTCCAGCTTAATGACCCTTAGCAGATGAATTTTCAGGTGTTCACTCTTCTTACTATTTTTTGATATACATTTTCATCGTATTTCTTTTTTTAGAACTTACTGCTGTAATTTTATTTTTTTGAGACAGAGTCTCGCTCTGTTGTCTAGGCTGGAGTGCAGTGGCATGATCATGGCTCACTGCAGCCTCAACCTCCTGGGCTCAAGCAATCCTCCCATCTCAGACCCTGAGTAGCTGGGACTATTGGCGCACACCACCACAAGTAGAGATGGGGTTTCATCATGTTGCCCAGGCTTTTCTGGAACTCTTGGGCTCAAGAGATCCTCATGCCTCAGCTTTCCAACGTGTTGGAATTATAGGTGTGAGATACCATGCCTGTCCTGTAATTTTAAACCATGCTCCACAGGCTTAAATAAAAAAGTAGGAAATGATCTGGACTAGTTTATAATCTTGTCTTGAATTCTCTCAAGATACATTTTAGTCCAGCAAATCTGTAATTCTTTCCTTTCCTTTCTCAGTTCTATTTCCCTGCTTTATCTATCTGCAGGAGACATGCATATATATATATATATATATGCAGTCTGAGAGATGGGGTCTCACTATGTTGCCTAGGCTAGTCTTGAATTCCTGACCTCAAGCATCCTCCCACCTTGACCTCCTAAAGTTCTAGGATTACAGATGTGAGTCACCACACCCAACCTCCATCTACTTTTGACTACGTCCTTTTTCATCATTCCTGCCTATAATTTAAGTAGTATTTTGCATCTTGTTCTCTCCAATATACTCATCCTTGAGCTTTTTCCAAGTCTAAAATTCTTAACATCATTGATCTCAGCAGTACTCTTGATTGACTGTCCCTATTTCCTTTCTTTGGAAGTCCTCATCTAAATGGGCTTTATTCTCTATAGTTGACAGTTTTGGGGGGACTTTTTAGGACCTTCAGCATTGGCCCTCTAAAATTATAATTAGCACAGTTTTTTTTTGGGGGGGGTCAGGGCAAAAGCTTAAATGTATGTATGGGAAAAATAATGCAAATACTACAGACAATATTCATGTAGTTTGTTATATACAATATGCATACATTTACAAGTGATTTGGATAAACAGCCATAACAGGATTAAGACTACATTTAAGAAACTGCCTTGTTTTTTTTTAATTCACTTCAATCAGAACGTAGTAAGAACATATTTTGTGCCTGGAATCTTGCTTAATGTCTTAAAGGGTATAAAAGCAGCATAAAAAGAAAAAGAAAGGCATGCCAATAGAAAGTAATCTGACTAAAAATTAATTCACTTCTAAGGTATAAAAAGTTACAGCTGAAATATATTATTTTTTAAGACAAAGTCTTACTCTGTCACCCAGGCTGGAGTACAGTGGCACAAACACGGCTCTTTGCAGCCTGGGACTCTTGGATCCTCCCACCTCAGACTCTCGAGTAGCTAGGATTATAGGCGCAGGCAACTACGCCCAACTAAATTTTTATTTTTAGTAGAGACGAGGTCTCACTATGTTACCCAGGCTTGAAATATGTTATTCTTAAGATGCAATGGTTCTTAACCCTGGATACACATTAGGTTCATGTAGGAAGCTTTAAAAAAATTTAGATGCCTGGAATCCAGCCAAGACCAATTAAGGAAAGATCTCTATCAAGTGAAACCCTGCTAGAGTCCCAGTGTACAGTAGCTACAAGCCACTAGTTTCTAAAAGCTCTCAGGCGATTCTAATGTGTGGCTGGGGCAGACAGCCACTGAACTAAAGCAACATGTTTTATTTATTTTTACTTTAAAAATTTTTTTCCACAAGTTATTGGGGTATAGGTGGTATTTGGTTACATGAGTAAGTTCTCTAGTGGTGATTTGTGAGATTTTGGTGCACCCATCACCTGAGCAGTGTACACTGCATCATATTTGTAGTCTTTTATCCCTTGCCCCCCTCCCACTCTTCAAGTCCCCAAAGTCCATTGTATCATTCTTATGCCTTCACATCCTCACAGCTTAGCTCCCACATATCAGTGAGGACATACAATGTTTGGTTTTCCATTCCATGAGTTACTTCACTTAGAATAATAGTCTCCAATCTCATTGAGGTCACAGCAAATGCCGTTAATTCATTCCTTTTTATGGCTGAGTAGTATTTCAGCATATAAATATACCACAGTTTTCTTTATCCACTTGTTGATTGATGGGCATTTAGGTTGGTTCCATGATTTTGCAATTGTGAATTGTACTGCTATAAACATGCATGTGAAAGTATCTTTTGCATATAATGACTTCTTTTCCTCTGGGTAGATACCCAGTAGTAGGATTGCTCGATCAAATGGTAGTTCTACTGTTGTGGGAAGTCAGGGATCCCAAACAGAGGGACCGGCTGGAGCCACGGCAGAGAAAACATAAATTGTGAAGATTTCATGGACATTTATCACTTCCCTAATAATACTCTTATAATTTCTTGTGCCTGTCTTAATCTCTTAATCCTGTTATATTCATAAGCTGAGGATGTATGTCACCTCAGGACCCTGTGATGATTGTGTTAACTGTACAAATTGATTGTAAAACGTGTGTTTGAAGAATATGAAATCAGTGCACCTTGAAAATGAACAGAATAATAGCGATTTTAGGGAACAAGGGAAGACAACCATAAGGTCTGACTGCCTGTGGGGTCAGGCAAAAAGAGCCATATTTTTCTTCTTGCAGAGAGCCTATAAATGGACGTGAAAGTAGGAGAGATATCGCTAAATTCTTTTCCTTGCAAGGAATATAATATTAAGACCCTAGGAAAAGAATTGCATTCCTGGGGGAGGTCTATAAACAGCCGCTCTGGGAGTGTCTGTCCTATGCTGTTGAGATAAGGACTGAGATACGCCCTGGTCTCCTGCAGTACCCTCAGGCTTACTAGGATTGGGAAACCCCAGCCCTGGTAAATTTGAGGTCAGACTGGTTCTCTGCTCTTGAACCCTGTTTTCTGCTAAGATGTTTATCCAGACAATACGTGCACTGCTGAACATAGACCCTTATCAGGAGTTCTGATTTTGCCCTAGTCCTGTTTCCTCAGAAGCATGTGATCTTTGTTCTCCTTTTTGCCCCTTGAAGCATGTGATCTTTGTGACCTACTCCCTGTTCATACACCCCCTCCCCTTTTGAAATCCCTAATAAAAACTTGCTGGTTTTGCGGCTCAGGTGGGCATCACAGACCTACTGATATGTGATGTCACCCCTGGCGGCCTAGCTGTAAAATTCCTGTCTTTGTACTCTTTCTCTTTGTTTCTCAGACTGGCTGACACTTAGGGAAAACAGAAAGAACCTACACCCCCGATATTCTACTTTTAGTTCTTTAAGGAATCTCCATACTGTTTCCCATAGTGGCTGTACTAGTTTACTTTCCCACCGGCAGTGTAGAAGTGTTCCCTGTTCATTGCATCCATGCCAACATCTACAGTTTTTTTTATTGTTTTGATTATGGCCATTCTTGCAGGAGTAAAGTGGTATTGCATTCTGGTTTTGATTTGCATTTCCCTGACCATTAATGATGCTGAGTATTTTTTTCATATGTTTGTTGGCAGTTTGTATATCTTCGTTTGAGAATTGTCTATTCATGTCCTCAGCCCACTTTTTGATGGGATTGTTTGTTTTTTTCTTACTGATTTGTTTCAGTTTGTTGTAGATTCTGGATATTAGTCCTTTGTCAGATGTATAGATTGTGAAGATTTTCTCCCACTCTATGGGTTGTCTGTTTACTCTGTCGACTGTTCCTTTTGCTGTGCAAAAGCTCTTTAGTTTAATTAAGTCCCAATTATTTATCTTTGCTTTGATTGCATTTGGTTTTGGGTTATTGGTCATGAAATCCTTGCCTAAGCCAATGTCTAGAAGGGTTTTTCCAATGTTATCTTCTAGAATTTTTATAGTTTCAGGTCTTAGATTTAAGTCCTTAATCTATCTTGGTTGATTTTTGTATAAGGTGAGAGATGAGGATCCAGATTCATTCTCCTACATGTGGCTAGCCAATTATCCCAGCACCATTTGTTGAAAAGGGTGTCCTTTCCCCACTTTATGTTTTTGTTTGTTTTGTTGAAGATCAGTTGGCTGTAAGTATTTGGGTTTATTTCCGGTTTCTCCATTCTGTTCCATTGGCCTATGAGTTTTTTTTTTTTTTTTTTTGAAATACAGAGTCTCGCTTTGTCTTCCAGGCTGGAGTGCAGTGGCACGATATTGGCTTACTGCAAGCTCTGCCTTCCAGGCTCATGCCATTCTCCTGCCTCAGCCTCCTGAGTAGCTGGGACTACAGGCACCCGCCACAATGCCCAGCTAATTTTTAATTTTTTTTTTTAGTAGAGACGAGGTTTCACCGTGTTAGCCAGGATGGTCTTGATCTCCCGACCTTGTGATCCACCTGCCTTGGCCTCCCAAAGTGCTAAGATTACAGGCGTGAGCCACCATGCCCGGCCCTATGTGCCTATTTTTATACCAGTACCATGCTGTTTTGGTGACTATGGCCTCATAGTATAGTTTGAAATCAGGTAGTGTGATGCCTCCAGATTTGTTCTTTTTGCTTAGTCTTGCTTTGGCTATGTGGGCTCTTTTTTGGTTCCATATGAATTTTAGAATTGTTTTTTCTAATTCTGTGAAGAATAATAGTGGTATTTTGATGGGGATTGTACTGAATTTGTAGATTGCTTTTGGCAGTGTGGTCATTTTCACAATATTGATTCTACGCATCCATGAGCATGGGATGTTTTTCCATTTGTGTCATCTATGTTTTTTTCAGCAGTGTTTTATAGTTTTCCTTGTAGAGGTCTTTCGCCTCCTTAGTTAGGTATATTTCTAAGTTTTTTTTTTTTTTTCTGTAGCTATTGTAAAAGAGGTTGAGTTCTTAATTTGATTCTCCTCTTGGTCGCTGTTGGTGTATAGAAGAGCTACTGATTTGGGTACATTAATCTTGTATCCAGAAACTTTGCTGAATTCTTTTATCAGTTCTAGGAGCTTTCTGGAGGAGTCCGTAGGGTTTCCAAGGTAAATGATCAAATCGCCAGCAAACAGTGACAGTTTGACGTCCTCTTTACTGATTTGGATGCGCTTTCTTTCTTTCTCTCATCTGATTGCTCTGGCTAGGACTTCCAGTACTATGTTGAAGAGGAGTGGTGAGAGTGGGCATCCTTGTCTTGTCCCAGTTCTCAGAGGAAATGCTTTCAACTTTTCCCTACTCGGTATTATGTTGGCTGTGGGTTTGGCATAGATAGCTTTTATTACATTGAGGTACGTCCCTTGTATGCCACTTTTGCTGAGAGTTTTAATCATAAATGGATGCTGGATTTTATCAAATGCTTTTTCTGCATCTATTAAGATGATCATGTAATTTTTGTTTTTAATTCTGTTTATGGGTGTATCACATTTATTGACTTGCATATGTTAAACCATCCCTGTATCCCTGGTATGAAATCCACTTGATCATGGCGGGGTTATCTTTTTGATATGTTGTTGGATTTGGTTAGCTAGTATTTTGTTAAGGATTTTAGCATCTATGTTCATCAAGGATACCAGTCTGTAGTTTTCTTTTTCGGTTATGTCCTTTCCTGGTTTTGGTATTTTAGGGTGATGCTGGCTTCATAGAATGAATTAGGGAGGGTTGCTTCTGTCTCTATCTTGTGGAATAGTGTCAAAAGTATTGGTACCAATTCTTCTGTGATGTCTGGTAGAATTCTGCTATGAATCCATCTGGTCTTGGGCTTTTTGTTTGTTTTTTGGGTTTTTGTTTTTGTTACTTTTTTTTTTTTTTGAGACGGAGTCTCGCTCTCTTGCCCAGGCTGGAGTGCAGTGGCACAGTCTTGGCTCGCTGCAACCTCCACCTCCCAGATTCATGCGATTCTCCTGCTTCGGCCTCCCAAGTAGTTGGGACTACAGACATGCATCACCATGCCCAGCTAATTTTTGTATTTTTAGTAGAGACAGGGTTTCCCCATGTTGGCCAGTCTGGTCTCAAACTCCTGACCTCAAGTTATCTATCTGTCCATCTTGGCCTCTCAAAGTGCTGGGATTACAGGCGTGAGCCACTGCATCCAGCCTCCTGGACTTTTCTTTGTGTTGGTAATTTTTTAATTACCATTTCAGTCTTGCTGCTTGTTATTGGTCTGTGCAGGGTATCTAATTCTTCCTGATTTAAGCAATGAGGGTTGTATTTTTCCAGGAATTTATCCATCTCTTTTAGGTTTTCTAGTTTATGTGCATAAAGGTGTTCATAGTAGCCTTGAGTGATCTTTTGTATTTCTGTGGTGTCAGTTGTAATATCTCCTGTTTCATTTCTTAATGAGGTTATTTGGATTTTCATTCCTCTTTTATTGGTTAATCTTGCTAAGGGTCTGAAATTTTATTTGTCTTTTGAAAGAACCAGATTTTTGTTTTACTTATCATTTGCATTTTTTTGTTTGTTTCAATTTCATTTAGTTCTGCTCTGATCTTGGTTATTTCCTTTCTTCTGCTGGGTTTGGGTTTGGTTTGTTCTTGTTTCTCTAGTTCCTTGAGGTGTGACCTTAGAATTAGATGTCAGTTTGTGTTCTTTCAGTCTTTTTTTTTTTTTTTTTTTTTTGAGATGGAGTTTTGTTTTTGTTGCCCAGGCTGGAGTACAATGGCGCTGTCTCTGCTCACTGCAGCTTCCGCCTCCCGGGTTCCAGTGATTCTCCTGTCTCAGCCTCCTGGGTAGCTGGGATTACAGGTGTCTGCCACCACGCCTGGCTAATTTTTGTATTTTTAGTAGAGACAGGGTTTCACCATGTTGGCCAGGATGGTCTCAAACTCCTGACCTCTGCCCACCTGAGCTTCCCAAAGTGCTGGGATTACAGTCGTGAGCCACCATGCCTGGCCAAAATTTACTTTCTTATTTACATTTTTCCATACTGCTTGATGTTTTAGTTTGTGAATATATCATTTTACCAATATAATTTTTAATATTTAACTTTTAAAAGAACGAAAAAAGAGAAACAAAGTGACTCTAGATTAACTTTACTTTTTTTTTCTTTTTTGTTTTTTGTTTGACATGGAGTATTGCCCCGTCGCCAGACTGGAGTGCAGTGGCGAGATCTCGGCTACTGCAAGCTCCGCCTCCCGGGTTCAAGGGATTCTCCTGCCTCAGCCTCTCGAGTAGCTGGGACTACAGGCATGCACCACCACACCCGGCTAATTTTTGTATTTTTAGTAGAGACGGGGTTTCACCATGTTGGCCAGGATGTTCTCGATCTCCTGACCTTGTGACCCACCTTCCTCGGCTTTTCTGATTATAAAGAGAAAAACACTTATGAGACTATTATTTTAAAAATCTACAAAACAAAGAAGAGAGAACACTCAAAGTTTGCACAATGTCTTTGGAGATAATCTGTTAGTCCAGAATCAAATTTCCTAAAAGTATTAGGTGACCATAAAAGGAGAGAGAGGAAGCATGACCTCATCATGAGATGAGAAAAGTTGGCAATTAAAATTTACTGCTGATAAAGGGACAGAAAACATGTTAGAAGGGTTCATTACAAGATAATTTAATAAAAAATATTGAAAGCAGCAAAGAAGAAATCCAATGTTACAGAAATTTCATCTGTCCTGCAAAGGACATACCTGAAAAGCTGAGGAGCAATTCTGAAATATAAAGAAAAAACAAACAAACAAAAAAGAATAAATATCAAATAAATATGAATATAAGTAAAATAGGACAACTCACTAAATACCACGAGATAAATAAATAATATCTTCAGTTTGTAAGGGATCGTGTCAGAAATTCTGCATGCTATAGTAGACTGGTTTGCTAAAATGGCAATGAGCATCCCCTTGTTTTATGAGTCCCCTTTTGCAATGTGACTTTGCAGCATCTCCCATTAGGAGGTGGAGTCTATTTTCCCACTCCTGCAACATGAGCTGCTGGTCTCAGTTCCTTGCTTTGGACAATAGAACATGTTAGATGTTATGCTGTGCCAGTGGCAAGCCTAGGCCTTGCAAATGCATGTAATTTGCATGTTCTGTGCTTTCTCTTGGAAGCCTGCCAAGCTGCCATAGAAACAAGCCTGGCCTCGCCAGCTGCAGGATGAGTCCACAGAGGACAGAGCCATTCCAGATGAGGCCAGGCCCTAGCCAACCCGGCAGCTACTACAAATACATAATTGAGACCATCCTAGACCAGAAGTTTTCAGCAGAGCTCAGCCCAAATTGGAAACCTGCAGAATTCTGAGCTAAATAAAAGATTATTGTCTTAAATCGCTGATTTTTTTTTTTTTTTTTTTGAGACCGAGTCTCGCTCTGTCGCCCATGTTGGAGTGCAGTGGCGCGATCTCGGCTCACTGCAAGCTTTGCCTCCCAGGTTCACACCATTCTCCTGCCTCAGCCTACCCCGCAGCTGGGACTACAGGCGCCCGCCACCATGCCCGGCTAATTTCTTTGTATTTTTAGTAGAGATGGGGTTTCACCGTGTTAGCTAGGATGGTCTTGATCTCCTGACCTGGTAATCCCCCTGACTCAACCTCCCAAAGTGCTGGGATTACAGGCATGAGCCACTGCGCCCAGCCATGAGTCGCTGACTTTTAAAAAATATTTTTAATTGACAAGGAAAAATTATATTTATGGTGTAGAACATTATATATATGTACTTTTATATATACATATATATACCTTTTTATACATACCTTTATGTTTATATAACTTTATAGATATATATACGCCTTTTTTGTGGTAAGAACACGTATAGTCTATTCTCTTAGCAATATTCAAATATATAATATATTGTTTTTTTTTTTGAGATGGAGTTTCACTCTGTCGCCCAGGCTGGAGTGCAGTGGCACAGTCTCAGCTCACTGCAAGCTCCGCCTCCTGGGTTCACACCATTCTCCTGCCTCAGCCTCCCGAGTAGCTGGGACTACAGGTACCCACCACCACGCCTGGCTAATTTTTTGTATTTTTAGTAGAGACGGGGTTTCACCGTGTTAGCCAGGATGGTCTCGATCTCCTGACTTCGTGATCTGCCCGCCTCGGCCTCCCAAAGTGAATATATTGTTCTTAACTGCAATCACCATGGTGTAAGATAAATCTCTTTAACTTATTCCTTCTTTCTAACTGAAACTTTGTGTCCTTTGACCAACATCTCCCCAATACCCCCACCCCTCAGCCTCTGTTAACTTTTGATGTGGCTTTTAAGGCATCAATTGCTAATCAACACATTCACATTGACCCTAGCTGTCATTTATATGGGAAGGCAAAGAAAGATAATCTCAAGAATGAAAGAGACTTGAAAATACATTATCTTTTAAAAATTACTTGAAGATGGACATGAAACACTGACAAAAGATAAAGCAAAATTAAGATACCAAGACAGGAGAAATCATAATATAAAATTATTGGTAGAGACTAGTGATAACGACTAATACAAAATGACTAAATTATTATAAATATGACTTAATACAAATGATAATATGCTCATGAAATACATAATACAAAACTATGAAATTGCATAAAGCTAAATTAAAATGTAAGTTTGTATAAGTAAATAGAAAAGAAAAAGAGAGTACATAAAAGTATGTTCAAATTCTTATTTTAAATTATAAAGGGGACTTAAGGGAAACCAATTGTCATATCAAATAGATATACGTTATCACGTTTGAAAAAAATTTAAAGGATTAAAAATGTGGTGTTAAAATAGACTGAAATTAAAGTACCCAAACTGCTGGAGAAAAGAAAAACAATGAATGCATCTAACATACAGCAAAAGACAGAAATGACAAAAAAAGCAAAGCATGAACATCAACAACCAAATAAAAACAAAATGACAGAAGTAGGAGCAAATATATCATTTATTGCAATGAACATAGAAAGATTAAAATTCCGTATTAAATATAATTGATACAAAAAGAATCCAACTAAGCAAAAAGCCTAAAGTTGAAAAAATACATCAGACAAACACAAATAAACTGAAAGCTACAATTGAGTAATAAAATCAGACACTGCTGAATTCAGGGCAAATATATTAAAAAGGATTCTTAATGGCTTTATAATTAACATTTTATAATGAAAAGAATAAAATATGTAGTTACATTATAAATATCCACAAATATGCATCAGTCAACATTGCTTCAATATATAGAATGAAAAGAAGTATAAAAACAAGACAAAATTGTTAAAAGCACAGTTATAATGCTATTGACAGATCAAATAGATATAAATAAACAAACATAAAACAAAAATTAATCCTGTAGTTGTTCATCTTTTTAGACTCTTGGACCCCTATGGGAATCTCATGAATTTTCTCTCCTCACTCAGAAGCATGTGCATATTGCCTGCATGTCAGGGAATTTATGGATACCTTGAAGCCCATTCATGAACTTCTTTGTGGCCCCCTATGGTTTACTAATACTAGATAAAAGGCTTTGAGTTAAATAATAAAGGTTGGTCTAATAATTACCAAACTTTAACTCTATGGAGAATAGATTTCCAGTGCCCATGGCTCATTCACATAAATCTATCATATTAGACCACAAAGACAATCTATAATTCTAAAAAGTATATATTATGCAGACCACATCTCTAAGCAAAGTGCAGTAAAACTAGACACTAATAAGAACATATTAACCCTAAAAATAGAGTCACTTTGAGTTGTTAAAAGTCACTCTCTAAAATAACTCTTTGGTTAAAGAGGAAAAGAAAATGATGACTAGAAAAAAATTAGCAAAACTAAGAACACTACATACTATATCTTAGAAATGTAGATGAGTGATTAACACCACATTAGTTATTAAAAGCTAGCTCTTTCAATAAACTGCGTTGGGACAACAAGCTAATAAATTGGCACTGAGGATACAAAGGAAGAATAGAATTCATGAAGAGCTAAGTCAGTTTTGAAATAAAAGAGGAAAGATGAGGTGGGGAGAGCACATTATTCTTTATGATATTAAGATGTAGGAAAGGCCATTGTTATATAAACAGTATGGACTAACATGGATAGAGATAAATAGAACAAATCGGAACAGAATAGAGACCTCAGAAATAGATTTGTTTGCGTGTGACTTTGATTCACAGTAGATGTGACTCTTTAAAGCAATAGGGAAGGGATGATTTGGTTGGCATATAGCATTGAGAAAACTGATTCCCTAGGACATGAGGAGATGATGCAGAGAAGGGATTCCTGAATGGCCAAAATACATATAAGGAGACTCTTACACACACAAGTATATAGATAAATAAAAACTAAAATGACAGTAAGATACCATTGTATATCCATTATAATACAAAAATTAGAAAGATGGTGAAGATGTCAGAAAACCGGCTCCTCATGCACTACTGACAGTTGTATAAACTGGTACGGCCCTCCTAGAAAGCCGTCTGGTTGTGTCCTCAATAAAATAAGTATGCACACATCTGTGATCCATAAGTCCCTCTCTTGGGCATATATCCTAGAGAAATTTTCCAGCAGGTTGGTAAAAATGCATTTTAGAAGATGTTTTAATGCATATTTTTGGTATTGGAGATAACGTAGGTATCCAACAATTGGGGAATGGGTAAGTTAAAGGTAGAAAATGTAACGCAACATTATTTAGCCTCAAAAGTCATGAATGAGACAGCATTCAGCACCATGGACAATCATTTAAAACATGCTGGGTGAAAAGTTTTTAAAAAGACAGAAATTTATAGTATAATGCCATTTGCATAAACTTGTTTAAAATTTTGTGGGTACATAGTAGTTATATATATTTAGGGGGTACATGAGATGTTTTGATACAGGCATGCAATGTGAAATAGGCACATCATGACGAATGGGGTACCTGTTCCCTCAAGAATTTATCTTGTGAGTTACAAACAATCCAACTTTACATACAACAAACTATTTTTCAAAGATAAATAAATTTGATTATATATAAAGTGTATGTAACAGATACCTATGGAAGAAGATAAATGAGACAGTGAAACAGGGATAAAGGAAAAATTAATGGATTCACACAAGAGAGGGGCCTTACATGGATGTATGATTACAATGTGCTATGATTAACTCAACATTGTGATCTATTTCTACTTATTAAAGTATGTTTTAAAACACTAGCTTGCTTCTCCTCTAATTTAGATTCAGTTAGCATTTGCAGAGCATCTACGAGTGCCAAGTACTTTCACATTCTTTCTTTCATGTAATGCTTACAAGAAACAGGGATGTTTGCTATGATTGTCTACATTTTGCTAAAGGGAAACAGGCACCTGAATTTAAAGAATTTACCCAAGGTCACAAAGTTAGTAAGTAGAAAAGAAGGGATTGAGACCTGGGTCTGTCTGACGCATTGTGTTCCCTCTAACATAATCTACAGTGTCTGTGTGTGGTGTTACAGTGTTGAGACATCATTTAAACTCATGAATCATAAATCATGCTACTAGAACTATAGACAATAGACTGGATACTGACTCCTAAGAACAATAAACAAAGATATTGATTCTGCTGTGATGACAGAAATCACAACACAACAACACAAGAATGCATAAATCCTGCCATGACCTCTCTTCCCAGTGGGGTTCCTCACCACAGGAAATATACACAAGAAACTAGAGGGGCTTGAAAAATGCAGTTGAAGGTTATGGCTCAGACCTGTCGGCCTACACTAAGCTTCCTCCTTTCTCTCCTTGAAATAAAGATAACCAGGCCCTGAGACTACTTAAACAGAATCCTACCCTCTTTGGAGAGTCATCAGAACATAAGATAGTGATCTTCTCTATCACAAGGCACAACAAGATTTTACATAATAATTCTGACTTTGTACAGAAGCTTCAGCTGAGACTCCAAGATTTGTAAGAAGTCAACAGAAAGTGTGTCCATTGCCCCAGAAAAATGAGTAAGTGCTTATGACGGGGATCCACCGATATCCATGTCCTCTGCCTCTTCTGGTTACACTGCTGGACTACATTTTATAGTCTCCTCTTCCATGTAAGGGAGGCCTGATAACTAGCTTTCAGCAATGCAACGTAAGTGAAAGGAACTATCTCACCAACCAGCCATGTCAATTAAAAGGAAAGTTATCTTCCTTGTATCAGTGAATTATTTCTATGAAACAAACCACCCCAAACGTAGTGGCTTAAAATAACAACCATTTATTTATATCATAATTCAGCAGGTCAGCAACTTAGGCCAAGCTTGTTGGGTGATTCGTCTAGTCTTGTCATGGCTCCCTTTTGTGTCCACAGTCAGAGGCAGGTCAGCGACCTTCTCTCCTTCTGGAGTTTGGCTAGCTATAGGCTGGGGTGACTGCACAGCTGGCCACGTGTCTCTCATTTTCCAGCAGACAAATCCAGGCTTGTTCATTTGGAAGTGGCAGGATTTGAAGAAAAAGAGCAGAAATGTGCAAAGTTTCCTGAGTCCCAGGCTCAGAACCAACACAATATCATTTTTAACCACACTCTATTGGTTTTAACAGACTACCAAAGGAAGCCATGGCACAAAATAAGACCATTCACATAGAATACAGCAAATACACTAGTGAAAGAAGTCTAGATACTGAGCAACTACACAGAGCAGAGCTCCTCTACAACCACCAACATATTGACCACTTTCGTCAATGACATGACCATTTAAAGCCACTGAGGTGTTTGTTATAGCATTTAGCCTATGCTGACTTGGCTCACTAAGCCACCAAACTCATTCAGCCCATCTTTAACATCCAGCTTACGTGAAAGAAGATTTGTGTTAATTAAAGGGGGAATCATTAGAGAAGATTCTTGCCCCTCACCTACCCCAAAACAACAGACGGAGTTCCCAAAAACTAATTTTTGGGGATTGGCATTGTCAGATAGGAGGAACAAGTTGAAACTTCCTCCCTGGCTGAAGGTTTGCACAGCCAGAGAATCTTGTGATGAGGCTGGAATGTGAGAGAGCTGTTGGGAGAAATGGACATGGTTTCCCTAGAATCTGGGGAGACATGAACGTGAAGGGCTAGCTGGAGCACCACCTGAGGGCAGAATAGAAATGGACTGTACCTTGAGAATTTAGTGGATCAATGAAGCCAATTTTTCATGTGGACCCTATGAAGTTTAGTCCACGCTTAAGCTATCTTGAGAGGACCTCATCAAAGACACTGCCTGTGTCCCCAGCCATGGAAATCTTCATACTTTGTTTTAATGAGAGTAGACATATCTGAGGACAAGAGATCTTCTGAAACCAGATGAGTTTGGCCACACATTCTCTGCATTTTGCATCTTTCTGAAAGCATTCCTTTGAAAATTTTTGGTGTTGGTTAATAGGGTGATCATCATTCAGGAGGAAAATGTTCAGAGAGGGAGAACAGATGCAAGCATGCGACTCATCCCATGAAGCCAAAGGTATGCGAAACACCCAGACTCAGAATTAACTGTGACAGATGGTGCCTAAACATCTGCCTCCGGTAGGAACCAGACTACTGCTCCACCTGCTACTAAGAGAGCTTGCAATCATCTCCCCCAATACCCTTCTCCCCAGGGAAGCCTTCTCATCCAGCAAACTCCTCTCCACTTGCCTCCTTCACTGTTTTTTCCTCTTTTGAAATCATAACCCCGTAATCACACCTGTCCTCTGGGGCTTCCATTCCCCTGTAGGGCCATCTGACTTTCCATATGTGTGCTTCATCTCCTTTCTGAAAAATGTGGCTTAGTATTTCAACCCTCCTCAACATGGCACCAAGAGTATATCTACTTTGTTCTGTAGTTCTTGAAGAGCCTTAAATCTAAACCATGACATCAGCCAGAGTTTATAGGATTACTTGATAGTTTGCAACGAAAGTCATACTCATTGACAATAATAACAACAACATACATACCAATTGCTATATGCTGGGCCTATAAGGTATTATTTTCTCTACTTTATTGATGCAGAAACTGAGGCAGCAGAACTGTAAAATGACTTGTAAAAGTTCATACAGTAAGTATATGGCAGAGCCAAGATTCAGGGCTGCCATGTATGGCTGTGCAGGTTATGCTTTGCACTGTATCAGGAGGTACCATTTGCCTCGGCTGATATACAGCCTGCACAACACTACACACCAGAATCTGAATGTAGGCAGACTGTCTCCAAAGTTCTTACGGACTCTCTAACAAAGGGAGTTAAAGCATAGCATAAGATTTATGTATGAAGACCTTCATCACAGAAGTGTTTATCCTAGCAAAAAAAAAAAAAAATATTGAAGCAACAATAGAGGAATGACTAAGCTAATTACATTTAGGCCACTTCACAGATAATTTTAAAACTATTAAAAATAATGTACAAAAATGATGTAATATTGAAAGATACCTTAAATTATAGTGAGGGATGAAAAGAATCAACATATGAAAGTCAAAAACAGAAACACACCACCCACCTTGAGCTCCTGAGATGATACTATACCTTCTGGGACCAACTGAATACCTTCTGACAAGTCAATTATATTTTACTCCTGTCATCATGTGCAGGAGAGCAACTAGTCCTCAATGGAATAAAAATTGTTTCTAGCTGAAGTTTTCTTTTCCTGACATCATGCTTGTTCCCGCAAATCCACGATGTCCAATCAGGGTATCTCAAACAACATTGCGCCTGGCAATGGAACTCACCTCAGAGTAAAAGAAAGCAGGTAATGACTAATACCAATGGAATTTACCAGGCTTACCATTACTTCACTATCCAGAAGTAATTAGCCTTACAGACCAAGCAAAATATTTGCTTTCTCCTTCAGATCATAAAAGTATTACACTAAAAATTATTTCCAAAACTTAACTCCTCCATTTCTGACCTGGATAAGATGGCAGACTCTTGCCCTCTCTAGTCCTCTCCACAATGCACAATAGCAAACTGTAGAGACTAGCCGTACACGGTCTGTGGGTCTTTCTCCCTGTGTGCGGAGAGGAGAGATCATAGAAATAAAGACACAAGACAAAGAGAAGAAAAGACAGCTGGGCCCGGGGGACCACTACCACCAAGACGCAGAGACTGGTAGTGACCCCGAATGCCTGGCTGAGCTGTTATTTATTGGATATAAAGCAAAAGGGGCAGGGTAAAGAGTGTGAGTCATCTCCAATGATTGATAAGGTCACGTGAGTCATGTGTCCACCGGACAGGGGGCCCTTCCCTGTTAGGTAGCCCAGGCAGAGAGAGAGAGAACAGCTTACGTCATTATTTCTTCTATGCTCTTTTCAGAAAGATCAAAGACTAATACTTTCACTAATTTTGCCACTGCGATCTAGAGGGCGGAGCCAGGTGTACAGAGTGGAACATGAAAGTGAAACAGGAGAGTGACCGCTGAAACACAGCATCACAGGGAGACGGTTAGGCCTCCGGATAACTGCGGGTGGGCCTGACTCCACAAGAGGTGGTGGAGCAGAGTCTTCTCTAACTCCCCCGGGGAAAGGGAGACTCCCTTTCCCGGTCTGCTAAGTAACGGGTGCTTTTTCTAGGCACTGACGCTACCGCTAGACAAAGGTCCGCTAGGCAACCGGCGTCTTCCCAGGCGCTGGCGTTACCGCTAGACCAAAGAGCCCTCTAGTGGCCCCGTCCGGGCATAACAGAAGGCTCACACTTGTCTTCCGGTCACTTCTCACAGTGTCCCTTCAGCTCCTATCTCTGTATGGCCTGGTTTTTCCTAGGTTATGATTGTAGAGTGAAGATTATTATAATATTGGAATAAAGAGTAATTGCTACAAACTAATGATTAATGATATTCATATATAATCATATCTATGATCTATATCTAGTATAACTATTCTTATTTTATTTATTTTCTTTATTATACTGGAACAGCTTGTGCCCTCGGTCTCTTGCCTTGGCTCCTGGGTGGCTTGCCGCCCACAACAAACATTGCAAAAATAACTCAAGAGACAATGAAAGGGGAACTCTGAGAGGTAGAAGACGAGGGTGCATCGGTTTGAGACCCCAGGCAGGACTGGAGAAGCGACACAGTGTCAGGGCATCCTATGTCCTTCCAACCTACAAAAGAGGTGATCCAGGTCAAGCATTTTCTGATCTGAGCCTAGCAACAGAAGGCAGCCCAGGTAGGCTAAGGTCTCCCCCACATTGAATAGGAGTCTACCTATACCACCACCTGAGCCCAGCAAATAGGGTGGATCAGAAGCCCACTTACATACTAAGGGGCCAGGGAAGCTTTCTTCTTCCCTGATGGGCCTGAGACTCTCCTCCTCCTCCACCCAGAGACACCATGCAGTTGGAAGGCACCAGAAAGGGAAACACACCAAAATAAGAGAGCGTCATGACTAACTGAATTCGTTTTGCAGACAACAATGAAAAAGAAAATCCAAAAAGAAATAAATTTTTTGAAAGCATTTACATTGCCATCAGACACAAGAAGGTCCTGTCAGGCATGGACAAAGTCTATACAGTCATAACTCATGGCCTAGAGAGCCCTTGGAATGTACAGCTACAGACAGCTACAGATACCCCATATCCTTGCCCCTAGGGACATCAGGAAACAGGGTTTCATCTGCCAGACTGTGGTGACCATGACTGAGGATTACTTCCCTTCAATCCCCTCAGAGACAAAATGAAATGAAGGGAAAGTCATCCCTGACTTTGTTTAAAACACAGCATCCTACACAGGTTTTACAAACATCTTATTTTTTACGACCTTTTTCTGTTATTTCATTTTTAAGAAACCCACCGCTCACCTATTCATCCCCTGAGAGAAGCTTATTTAAAGCTCATGAGAAAGCAGAGAACTATTTCACAACATTGAAGCAAAATAATCTGACTGAACCAAGCTTTCACAGGGGAACTGGGGAAAGAGTGAAGAACCAAGCAAAATAGACGAGTCAGGAGACTAAAGTTGTAAAATAGTTTGGTTTTGAATTCTTATTTCTAGTTTTTCCAAAGTAGCATTATAACTAAGAGATTTTCCTCTAAGTTGCTATAAAAAGCAAAAGTGGGCCCAGATGTTACCAGGGAGCTGTCAAGGCTCTCCTGCCTCAAGAAACACACCTTACCCTTCCTAGAGAATGACTTTGGGAAGAGGTCACTCTCAGAGTATTTACCAAGAGAGAGAAGGAAGTCAGTACTCCACAATTCTCCTGGATTTGTAATCCCTTGCTCTTCTGCTGGCTTTTAATTTCTATCTGGATGGCCTACTATGAGGCTGCCCTGACCAGATTCTTCCCCAGAACAAGGAGCTTTCAGTAAGTGAGAAGAGAGGAGTGACGAATCACACTCCACTTTCAGAGTGTCTTGTTATGGAAAATTTTCTTGCATCGCATCCGAGAGCATTAACATAAAATAATTGCACTAGGCCGGGCGCAGTGGCTCACGCCTGTAATCCCAGCACTTTGGGAGGCCAGGGCAGGCAGATCATGAGGTCAGAAGATCGTAGCCATCCTGGCTAACATGGTGAAACTCCGCCTCTACTAAAAATACAAAAAAAATTAGCCAGGTGTGGTGGTGGGCACCTGTAGTCCCAGCTACTCGGGAGGCTGAGGCAGGAGAATGGCGTGAACCCAGGAGGTAGAGCTTGCATTGAGCAGAGATGGTGCCACTGCACTCCAGCCTGGGTGACAGAGCGAGACTCTGTCTCAAAAAAACAAAACAAAACCAACCAAACAAAAACTGCATTAATGTTAGAAAGAACTTATGAGAACATTGTAAAAGTATCAGTAGAGCACACATTCATTCATTTCTTTAACAAATAAGTATTGAGCAACTTCTACATGCCAGATATTGTCCTAGCCACAGGAAACACAGCAATAAAAGAAAAAAAAAATCCTGCTTTAGAAGGCTTACATTGGAGTGAGAAGAAACAGACAAATAGTTATCGGCATCTGACCATAAGGTAGATTAAGGAAGAATAAAGTAGATTAAGGAAGACAGAATTAGGAATATAGGGAATGAGAATACTGTTTTAAATGCTGAAAGATAATCTTTCTGAGGAGGTGACCTTGAGTAGAGACAGAAAGAAATGAGGGGAAAGTATGCACAAATGTGGAAGAAAAGCACTCCAGACAGAGAAAAAGCGCATGGGAACATGCACGTTCATGGAGAGTGAAGAGGGGAGGGTGGATGAAGAGTCGTGTGCTGGCAGCGAGAGCAGGGGTGGTGGGAGCAGCCCACAGAGCACCTATGGCCAATGGAAGGATCAGACTTTCACTGTGTGCAATATAAGAAGCCACTGGAGAGTTTTGAACAGAACAGCAACATCTTCTGGTCCACGTTTCTAAAGGGTCATGTGGATTGCTGTTGCAGGATAGGTGGTGGAAGGGGCAAAACCAGGTAGGAGGCTATTGCCACAGTCAAGACCAAAGATGGGGGTGGCTTGAATCAGGATGGGAGCAGTAGAGATGATGAGACATGGTCAGATTCTGAACAAATTTTGTAGGTAGAGCTGACATTATTTGTTGATAAATTGGCTACATGGACTGTGAGTGGGAAATAGGAATCAAGGCTGACCCCAAGACTGCTGACCCAAAAAGCTGATAGAATTTACTGAAAAGCAGAATACTGCAACAGAAGTAAATCAGAGGTAGGTATGAAGCGAATTAAGAGTTTGATTGGAGATGTATTCAGTTTGAGATGCATGTTACACGCCTCAGTGGAGCTGGCAAGTAGGCAGTTGGACTTAAAAGTTGGACACTTACAGGAAACGTTAACTGCTGAAGTTACTTTTGGAAGTTATTACCCAGATAGCTGGTACTTGAGCCATGGAAGTGAAGTTTACAAAGACAGAAATCTTCTTGTTAAGGCCCCTTGGATTTCAATAATCTACCAGATTTGTGCAATAGTAGACCAAATCAAAAATAAATAGAACAATAAAAATCTGTCTCTGGAGCCTACATAGTCAAAGTAGAAAAGCCTTTGGACCTTTAAGACTTGCAGTTTACTAGCTCTGTTCAAGTAATTCAATGACCACAAAACATGTGTGAGCATATGAGGATGCCCAAAGAAGGGAATTTAGACCAAGATCATAAAAAAGTTTTCATAGAATACATCAAAAAGACATCTGATACACACACAAACACATACACACTAAATGCAAGATAGATAGAGGTAGATATAGACTTACCATGGACATTTATGCTTAATTATCCATAAGGAATAGAATCAAGTTCCATTAATTTTTTTCAATTCTTTCTCTAACTCAAGACTTTCAAACCTCCTTTCTCTTTTGTTGTCCCTTCCTTGCTCATCTCAAATCAAAATCACAATTTATAAGATCACTCTTACCAAACCAAAGAGACTTGGGGGGAACAGTAATTTTTATGAGCTAACTTGGGATCTGTTATCATTTTTAACAGATGACACTTGATTTCTCACCTGATGTACTAAAGAATGGCAGAACGAAAGCCTCTAGGGAGAAAATGAGATTTTCATAACTTAAACACTAAAAACAACAGCCCCATAACACTGAATGTCATTATCAAGCAGCGAACACTCTCGCCTCTCTTGTCAACTGTGGTGTGCACGAGATGCCTTTCAGAAGGCCACACGTTCGTTTACACTCATGCCTACCCACCACGCCACCCCCATCACAATCAGACACACACACACACACACACACACACCACCAGCAATCATGCTATTACCTCTGGCACACTTGGAAAACATGTGTCAGAGCTAGAACCTTCTCTTGTCACATTATCATAAATTACTGCACAGGATATGAGTCTGTGGTTGCAGACCATTTTTTTCCTTACGTGGTGAATTTGGCCAGAACTGGTGAGAATAATGAATGCAGCTGTACATCCAATGTGCAAGGAGGATAGATATTCAGACCCAGGGTGAATTAGAGAAAGAAAAATCCCCAGCAAGAGGGACGACCCAGCTCACTCAAGCTTTGTCAGTCACTGTTTACTTCATGTTCACCCATAAAATAGATAATGACAATATTTTCCTATATATTTCTAAGCTGCTGGTCTCTGGGGAAGTCTAAAAGTTCACAGTGGACTTAAAAATATGTACCAAATCTTTAGCAGACAATAAAAGAGATGTGGAATCAGCATTTTATCAATCACTGGATTAGACCTTCCTACACCCCAGGCAAGGGACTATTTGCAAGGCTACCAAAAAGCAATGAGCCTTGTCCTACTCCACTGTTTTGTCCTTAAATTCTGTTGTAAGTCTTTTGGGGGAAGCTTTACCTCCGGAATCTTGTCGTGGAGTATTCTAGAGGGGAAAAAGACAGCATAGCACACCACACCACACCAGACTACACAAACTCACCTCTCTCTCTCTTCCTACCCCACCAAGCCCCTTCTTCAGTGCCTTCGGGAGGGCTGCCTTTCTTATCCTAGCATGGCCTGGAATTAGCAGAATACAGGATTAACACTTTATGTGCTAGGCTTCAAGAAGAGTTTCAACACCCATGGTGCATGTTAGAGTTTGAAAATGCCTTCATGCCCTTTACCACAGTGAATACTTCCAACAAGTCTCTGGGAGAAGCAATGTGGGCATTATTCTCCCGTTTCATAATTGAGAAGGGAAGGCTCAGAGTTAAGGCAGCACAGAGGCCAAGGTAGGAAAAGGCTGGCAGCAGGATATGACCTGGAGGCTCATGAATTGAGGTCCACCTGCAGGAACTATATTCACTTGTCTTTCTCTATAGGAAAAGATTCTGGTCTCAGGCAGACCCTACTGCCACTCAGACAAACTTATTAATTCCTCTAAGCCAATTCATTCATCTCTAAAGTTAATTTATTATACCTGCAAAGGCAGTTATGATTAAGGAAAATGGAGAATAGAAAGCACCAGGACCAGGACCGAGCATGTGTTCTGGGGATGTTAGTTTCCTATGTGTCTCTTCTCCACTCCTCCTGCCCCAGCTACAATCCTCACAACACTATTACCATTACTATAATTGTTACTTTGATGTGATTACACCTAACCTGTTCTCTGTGCTTACTACATACCAGCCACCCCATACTTAATTCTTGCCACAATGCTATGAAGTACCACTATTATCCACCTTATTTGAAAGCCTGAAAAAAAAACTGATTGACAGGACAGTTGTACAGAGTTGAGAATCCTTCTCTGGTCTGAGTCCCATGTCACAATCTCAGCCACTTTGGAACACTGCCTGGATGCTCAGGCCTCCTGCTCAGCCCACTTGTTCTCACTAGCTTTGAACGTCTGCCCTCTCCCTCTCCATTCTCATGCCCTGGTTCTCACCTGACCTAAACAACCTTGTAACTAGATTAATAAACAGCTTGTAGGACCTGGCCCCTGGTGCCATTCACGTCTCTCACCTAGGTTTGTCAGATATAGTAAAGAAAAATATAGAGCTCCCAATTAAATTTGAATTTCAGATAAATAACCATGTTTAAGTATAACTAGGTCCCAAATATTACACGCTATGCAGACTTGCGTGAGACATATTTGTACTAAAAATTATTCATTATTCATCTGAAATTCAAATTTACATTGGTATCCCATATTTTATCTTGATAACCCTAGGCACTTCCCAATCCCCAGTAGACTCTGCTATTCTGTGTGTCCCATGTCTATAAACCCTGCTGTAGTGGTTATTACATCAGTGGATTTTGAAAAATCACACCTCTATTATTCACAGCTTACAGAGTTCCCTCCCTTTGAATCTCAACTAATTTATGACTTGCGTTAGTAAAACTGCAATGGCAGAGTCTCTTCTAAGCCTAGGTTTTAAGAAGCCCTAGAAAATAGTACTGGGGCATGTATATCAGCTATCTATTGCTGCATAACAATTTCTGATTTTGCACTCTTATAATCTCTGAGCTCTCAAGTAAGAAGTCTTACTACTCTGCTGGAAAGACTATATGTATTACTTTACTTCACAAGGTTTTTATGAAATGCAAATGAGAATGGGATGATTTAGATCAGCTTCCTCAGGAGTAGAACTCAAGACCAGGACACACACACACATATATATGTTTAGAACGTGGGGTGGCGGGAATCATTCCAGCCTTTCACACATTGCAGTCAAGACACATCTTTCAGCTTTCTCTCACTTGCAGCTCAGAATCGTGTTGTATAGCAATAGACTGAGACTCTCACGCGTGCAGGGAAATCCACCCAGGACCCAGGAAGAAAAGGGAATATGAATCACTAATACTCTCTAGTGGGCTATGGCCCACTAATCCCTCAGTTTCTTCTCCAGCAGCTCCTTATTAGACCAGGAGAGTCTCCCTCACCCCTGTCTTACTTGCAAGACAGGAAGTAACTAAACAAGGGACAAGGGGACAAGGTGGGAAGTGTTGGTCACATCCATTCTAGGCACTCAGCAGTTTCTTGCCCCACTGAGAGGCACTGGTGTCATGTACTCTAGTGGCTGAGTTTTTGTACCAAGAGGTGTTTTTTTTTTTTTTTTTTTTTTGAGATGGAGTTTCACTCTTGTTGCCCAGGCTGGAGTGCAATGGCACCATCTCTGCTCACCACAACCTCTGCCTCCTGGGTTCAAGCAATTCTCCTGCCTCAGCCTCTGGAATAGCTAAGATTACACACATATGCCACCACATCTGGCTAATTTTTGTATTTTTTTTAGTAGAGATGGGGTTTCTTCATGTTGGTCAGGCTGGTTTCGAACTCCCGACCTCAGGTAATCCGCCCACCTCAGCCTCCCAAATTGCTGGGATTACAGGCATGAGCCACTGCACCTGGCTGAGAGGTGCTCTTAACTCCCACTCTGTACAGGGAGAGTGGCTGGGCCTAGACATTTCTCTCAGGAGCAACCTCCCTCCCAAAAGCTGGACCAGACCTCTCATATCTTGGGAAGAGTTGGTGCCCAAATAAAGGATCTTTAAGAACCACCTGGCCTAAGCTAGCACATAGTTCAAAGGAACGTTCTGCCCTCAACAAGGAGGAAAGAAAGGGGTCAACACAAATCTGGGGCCAAGGGGCCTGAGGAAATCTACTGTCTATTGAGAATATGATATAGGCCATGATCTCTATTATTTATGATTTTACAAACTCATTTTAATGGCTGGAACCAAATATCTTATGAAAAAATAATTTTTGCTTAAGGAAAATACTTTGCTAGACCGCGTTGACTGGAGAAATTAAAACCCCAAAAGTTTGGTGCATAAGAAGACAAGGAAATTAAGATAACTCAATTGTTCTACCTAATAAATTAAGTTTTTGGAGATTGGAGTAAAGATGGGATGAATCTGAAATAGGGAGAGAGAGAAGATGTAAGTCTAGTAGTCTACTCCTCACTAGGACTAATGTTAATCTATTAGTCTCTTTATCTTTAGTCTCTTCTCACAGGGATGGCTTCTACCCCTAATGTTGTAAAAATGACCATCCCCCTCCTAAGAAATTCCTGCCCAGCCCTGCTTCCACTTTAAGTCGTAGCCTTATGTTTCCTATTCACTTCCCACTGGAGCTCCTTGAGTCACCCCTGAGGTGGCCCAGGCTCTGGGCTTCATTGTATCTGGCCAGGATGCCTAAGCTGCCCATCACCCCTAAGCACTGTCAGGAACCCCACAGTCAAAGGCTCTGCAGAGTCAAGTAGCCTCCCACTTATCCAAGTCCTCATCTGTCACTCTTGACATCTGATGAACTTCCAAAGATGCCCCAGTTATCAATGAACAGGGCAACTGCCTCCCACCTCTAACATCACACCAGGCTGAAGTATCCATAAAGGCCTGTCTTATCTACTTTCAACAGCACCGTGAGAAATGACCCATGTCCAAGGCCCCCTATAGACAAGCAGACTGTGCCTATCTTCCTGCTGACTCTCTAGTATTGAGGATTTTTTTTATTCTTCTTTGCTTTAAAATGAAGTGTTTATAAAATGTTGCTAAACCCAGGACTGTAAGCTACTTGAGAACATGAAATGTGTTGTTTCCATCTCTGCCCCTGCTACAGCCCTCATGCTGTCAGCAAGTGATGCTGCTTCCAGGGCAAGCCAGGGTTCTTGCCCTGTTCTGAGTAACTGGAGTCACTGATCAAATTGACATCTTCTAAATTATAGTTCCATCTAATGGTGAGAATGTGGGGAAATGGGCATGACCAAACACCACTGGTGTCAAGTGAATTGATCTACTCTCTGTAGAGGTACTGGCAATAATAATCAAGAGCCCTGGTGTCCATGCCTTTTAATCATATAATTTCACTTTGGGAAATGTACCTAGAGGAAAGTACGAAGCTTCATGTGTAAGAAAATTCTCATAAGGAAATATTTGTAATATTTGGAAATAGCCAATATGCCTAAGATTTTAATATATATGATGAAATATTTTGTAGGCATAAAATATTTCATAGGCATTGGCTGGGCACGGTGGCTCATGCCTGTAATCCCAGCACTTTGGGAGGCCGAGGCAGGCGGATCATGAGGTCAGGAGATCGAGACCATCCTGGCTAACACGGTGAAACCCCATCTCTACTAAAAATACAAAAAAATTAGCCAGGCGTGGTGGCGGGCGCCTGTAGTCCCAGCTACTTGGGAGGCTGAGGCAGGAGAATGGCGTGAATTGGGGAGGCAGAGCTTGCAGTGAGCTGAGATGGTGCCACCGTGCTCTAGCCTGGGCGACAGAGCGAGACTGTCTCAAAAAACAACAACAACAAAAATATATATATCATAGGCATTGAAAAACAAGGTTTGAAGAGTATTGATATGGGAAAATGTTCATTTTAGATATATGAATATATTTATGTGTATTAAAATTTAATCCCTTTAAAAGGACAAGTACACTAAAACACAAATTTATGAATGATCTTTTTAAATTTTCCTTATTTCTTATGACTATACTTAGTATAATATTGCTTCATAATTAGAAAACATAAATAAATCTATCAAGTTTGTAATCAAAAATCAAGTGTTTGTGTCAGAGTCATTAAAAGGCAAAAGACTATTATGTTATATTTATTCCATAGCCAATTATCAAGCAGCTCCTACATAACCAGGCACCAAGGTTGAAGCTGGGAATTCTAAGATTACTAGAACTCACTTTCTATTTTTAAAAGTTCACTCAGTGCAATAGGGGTTTATTTGTCATCTGCCAATGACCATAAAATGTGGTTGGTGTAATGGGAGCACAAAGGAGGGAATTCTGGCTCTGTTGGAAGAAGGATTTTAAGTTTCATAGAGGAAATGATACTACTTCAACTATCCTCAGTCACTCATTCATTTATTCATTCTGTCAACAACCTTGTTTCAAACACCTACCATGTCCCAGGCACTGTGCTAGATGCTGGATGATGAACAAACTCATCACTCTTCCCCTCAAGGACAACCCCATCTAGGGTAGAATTCAATGCCTTGAAGGGTGAATGGTCTTTTGCCTGATTGCAAGTCCCTGGCTAATGTCAACTGCCTCAGTTCTTCCCATCATATCTGCTTTTGTATACAGGTTTCCTTCTTGGTATCTGAACTCACCCTCCTCCATGTCCTGTTTGTCTAACAGCTCTTGTCAACAACAGCTCCACTCCCTCAGGTCTCATTTAGAATCCTGGTCCCTAGCTCTAGGAAGCACTTTAGGTCTACAGTAAGATATGGTTATGCCCTCTCTCTAACCCTATTCAATCTCCTGAGAGAGTCACCTCCCACACACCTACTGAATGGGCAAAGGGCACAGGATTCCACCCCTTAGTTATATCATATTGGATGGAAGGGGACCCCAAATAAGAGCTGGGCCAATCACATTCTTTCTTCAAAGGGTTTGGGATAGAACACATAGGGTGGTCTCTTTGAATACAGATCTTTGAGCATGCTATCCAGCCAGGTCTGAAAGGGCCTTTTTAGGCCTGAAACACTGAGTGTTGGAGAAACCACGTCCAAGGAAAGAAAGAGAACACCGAAGTAGATGTCAAGAGAGCACAGCATCTGGTAGAAAAACATATACTGAGATGTTATTTTTGCACCTCCTGCCTTTGTATTTTGGAAAATTTCCCCCATTTCCTTTCTTTTAATGAAATTTGCTTGAATGAGTTTCTCCTTCCTGCAAACACTACTACTTGATTAACAATCTTCAAGAGAAGTCTTCCTGGACCTTAGGTGAGTCCACAAACTTACTAGAGATACCCTCTGTTTAGATCAAGACTGGGTCATTCTCTGAGCTTTGCACAAGTCAGATGCTGAATGAATAATTATTGTTTAAACAAACACAGAAATAAAAAGCTGCCCCAAAGAATCTTTTCTGGCTGCCAAAGAGTCATAATTTATCTGTCTGATACTCACAGTCACAACAAGGAAAGTGGTCCCATGGGCCCATGCACAGCTTGGATTCTCTGTCTCAAACTTGTTCCGGTAGTCATTGAACACCTGTTTTCTTTGGCAGTCTTAGTTCCGCTGAGCCATTGCAGTGGATATTAGAGTTCTTCCCTGTTCCCAGACTCTGATGAGTGATGGCTTTTGTGACAAGGAAAATACTCAGTGTTTGAGTCCCATCAGTAGTCAGGGTTGTAAGGATAGAAATACAGAATCAAGGCCGGGCGCGGTGGCTCACGCTGTAATCCCAGCACTTTGGGAGGCCGAGGTGGGCGAATCACGAGGTCAGGAGATCAAGACCATCCTGGCTAACACGGTGAAACCCTGTCTCTACTAACAATACAAAAAAGTTAGCCAGGCGTGGTAGGCACCTGTAGTCCCAGCTACTGGGAAGGCTGAGGCAGGAGAATGGCGTGAACCCAGGAGGCGGAGCTTGCAGTGAGCCGAGATCACACCACTGCACTCCAGCCTGGGCAACAGAGTGAGACTCTGTCACAAAAAAAAAAGAAACAAACAAAAAAAAAGAAACACAGAATCAAGCACAGACAGGCCACTGTGAAGATTTAGTTCATGGTTAGCAGGAACAGATCTTCCCAAGTAGTTCTGGAAATGAGGCCAAACCCATTTGTTTCCATATGGTCCCAGACAACCAAAAAAAAGACAGAAAAATTTCAAAGGGTAATGGAAAAACTTCCAGGCATCGTATGGTCATTCATCACATCTAACTGGCATCTTGACTCCTGAAATGCTGGATAAATCTCCCTTGGAAGTTAGCCATGTAACTGTCCTATACATGTGGACTTTATTTTTCAAAGTAAAGGAATAACTTTTTATTCAAGGATTCCTAAGCCATGTCCCCTAACCAAATTAAATATTCTTTCCCCACTGCAGTCATTTATGTTATTAGTAGTATTATTTTTCTTTCTTGTATTATCCATTTAACAATATTTCTGGAGAACCTACTGTTCACCGAGCTTTTTTGTGGACACAGGAATAGAGTACTGAGTAAAACAGTCCCCTCCTTTCATGGAATATATATTCTAGTTGGGGTTTTGGGTGAGACAAATAATAAACAAAAAAAGAAGTAAATATATATGACATATATTACAGTATAGATACATAAAAATACACATACTGAATATATGATATATAATGGTGATTAGGGAGAAAAATAATTGAAAATTGTGGAGATACAGAGTTCCAGTGATGAGAGGAGTTTGCTATCACACATAGAATACTCAAAGAAGACCTCACTGAGCTTGTGACATTTGAGCAGAGAGCTGAAGGAAGTGTGGAAGTTAACTGCACATACCTGCGGAAATAAAGTTCTGGGCAGAGAAAATGCATGTACAATGGCTCTGAGGCAAGAAATGCTTGGTATGTCCTAGGAAAAGGAAGGAAAACAATGTCTCTAGACTGGAATGAGTGAAGGGATGAGTATAGGACACGAGGTCAGAGAGGTGTACATAAATACTTGCTACTAGACCTCAAGTTCTAAAAAGTGAGGACCAAGTCTTAATCATCTTTATACCTTCCCTAGCTCTTACTAAAGCAACTGGCACATAGAATGCTTTAATAAAATGTTCATTGTAGTTATAATGAATGCATAGTTTATTTATGTTTTATGTCATTTCTAGAGCATTCCTTTTATTATTATAAAGAAATTGGCCAGGCCCGGTGGCTCACACCTGTAATCCCAGCACTTTGGGAGGCCAAGGCAGGCAGATCACCTGAGGTCAGGAGCTCGAGACCAGCCTGGCCAAACCCTGTCAAAACCCTGTCTCTACTAAAAATACAAAATTAGCTGGGCGTGGTGGCACATACCTGTAATCCCAGCTACTCGGGAGGCTGAGGCAGAAGAATCGCTTGAACCTGGGAGATGGAGGTTGCAGTGAGCCGAGATCACGCTATTGCACTCCAGCCTGGGTGACAAAAGCCAAACTCCTCACCAAAAAAAAAAAAAAAAAAAAAAAAAAGAAATTAAATTTAGTTTTCATTTCTATTAACTAGGTTTAATTCGGAAATCAGTAGATATAATTCTGTTAGATGGATGGATGGGTGGGTGGGTGGGTGGGTGGATGGATGGATGTGTAGATGGACCAACAGATTTAGATATACAGATGTCAGATTTGAGCAAAACCCTAGATCCTGGCCATGATCATACATCTGTACCCATGGCCAGGATCCAATGGGCCTCTCAATTTATCCTTAACTTGCTTATTTGCAATTTTATCCATCAAGTGATGCCACATGAGGAATTTAAATATCTGGACTAAGTAGGAGAGGTTATTGTTTGCTAAAGCACCACTGTCCCAAGCTCAAGAATGTTATGCTATTGGCATTTATAAGCCCAGTTCTAGGCATCATTATCTCAGTGGCCTTGAGACATTACCAGTCTATCTCAGAGATTCAGACTTGTCTCCTGATTGTATCTCTATCTCTTTCTCACTTCTTGGATGATTTACAATTACTTTCTCTCTGTCTGTTCCAGCACAACACTAACAAGTAAGGGCTCAGCTGACTTAGTCACACTTGAAGTCCATGAGAGGACTACAAGCCATTGATATCCACTGCGTTCTGGATCAAGTTTTTGTTCCTTTTTTCATTTACCTGGGTGCTAGTCAAGCCTGAGGCTTAACTAATATGGGACCAAATTAAATGCTAAATGAATAAATTAATGAGCAAGGCTTAGATCTCAGTCAGACCTTGCAAGAAGGAAAGAGAGACCATCCATTAAGTTGAAGTTTAACAAATTTTAAGTTTGTTGTAAAATTTTTACTCTGATATTTGAAGAAGTAAGAGATTCATTCTTGGCACATACATTCAGTTGTTTCTGTGAGGTTGGTAAATCCATTTTCCATGTTGTTATTATAACAGATCTGAGGACATTAATTGATATGTTTCACTAGAATGTGAGTTCTGATAAGGATGTCAGAGATGAATACAACACATTCTCCTGCAAATGCACTTTGGAAATGCCTTGTCTCACATATGGTATAAATTCTAATTGATATCTTTCACCAAGTATTCATTTACACCATGCTGTTTATGGCAGAAATTCCCTATATACTATAACTGTTGTCCAAATATAAGACTTCTCATGATAAATTTCTCTTGGCTTTGAATGTCAGGGGAAGTTTATGTCTTCTACACAACTGGTCTATGTGTTTTCGTCTGACAATAATAACTAGACAAACCATTGGATTTCCCTTTTTCTGTCTTGTCTTTTAAGAATTTCAAAGTTTGAGCATTAGGCTCCATTTCATTACCCCTCACTCCAGACTCCTAGTATATATTCCTACTGCTGACACTGCATGATTTCTGATCTTCATTTAGCTTTATTTCAGCTTTTCCATTGTTTTGAGCTTTACACTGAGGTTTGGAGAAGTTTGAGGGATGCCTCCATGAGAAACAGGAAGAATATATATTGTTAGCAAAGAGATACGTAACTTATTGCTTGAAGAGATTTGACAGTCATGTAGACTTGAACTAAAATATCAGCTTCAGTACTTGTTAAAAGTGTGAACCTGACTGAGCAAATTGCTTAAATTATCTGAACTTTAGTTTCTAAGAATAATAAAATTTTGTGAGAATTAAATAAGATAATGCATAGAGAATGCTTAGAATCCTATCCAGCACCTTGTATGTGCTTAATAAATGATATTTCTACGTAACAAATAAAAGCCATTGAGAGACAACTTTAATTTATACAAATAATTAAACAAGGAGTGTTTCTTGAATATAATAGAGTAGCTAAAGGTTCAGACTTAGAAATCACGTTATGTGGGTTCAAACCCCTACTCCATTATTTTCTATCTGTAACCTTAGGCGAGTTTTATTATGCCTTCATTTCCTTATATTAAATGACAATAAAAACAAAATCTACCTCATAGGGTTATTTTAAGGAGGCAACACAGTATAGATGCTTAAAAGTTTCCAGCACACAAGCATGTAATAAATGCTATTACTGCTTTAACTAGTATTATTATTAGTTGACTCTAGATTCAAACTAAATTTTTTAGAGATTTCTACTCCATTTTGGCCTCAAGAAAAACTGAATATAATAAATAATGAAAACTGAATTGGCCTGGGAATACAAAGATATTTTTTCTGGGTTTATTTTCACTTCCACACTGGGAGCTTTATTGATAACTTTAGAGATAAACATTTATGTGGAAGTAAATACACAACACAAGCCCAGAAAGGTACACACTGTAACTTTTTTATAACAGAAAGGAATTGTTGGGGATAATGTATTTCTCTCATGCTTCTGAGTCAAAAACCAAGCAAACTGAAATAGCCCAACACCATCATGATCGATTCCTTGTTTTTATTTCATTTTACTCTTTGCAATATGTTTTCATATTTAGTCGTATCTCTTTTGATCCTCAAAGTGAGCCAAATAAGAGGACAGGACAGGTAGTTATTATCAATGATAAAGTGAAGAGTTGAGTGAAGTGACTACTCAGGGCCACCCAGTTGGCAAGTGACTGAGCTGGATTCAAAACCAGCTGTCATCCTTTTTCCTCACACTACACACATTGCCCTAAGTCAGACTTCCACACTGGAACTGTTTAATCTGTTAAAAAAAAAAAAAAAGAAAAGAAAAAGAAAAGAAAAAGCTGATTCTGCAGTGACCACTGAGACATCTAAACAGAAGCCTCACCTTACCCCCCCTCAGGAGACAGGGCCATTGGACGGTCAGAGTGCCCCTTTCCTGTTGTTTCTTGTGCATCTGGATTCAGCACACAGCCCTGTCATCCCCCAGCTGTCCACTAAGCACCGCCATCAGCAATAAAGGAGTTACCACTTAATCTCTGGTACTTAAAATGGGAAATTGAAGCATATAATCACAGGATTAGAAACAGCTGAATCTAGGGACGCTGAAAAACCCTTTAGAACAAGTTGCCAAATAGTTTTGCTCTTTGCCAAAATATCTTTTCTCTTTATTTAACCCTTTCTGAGTTATAAGAGAAATGCAATTACAACCATGATATTCTCTACTAAAATGAACAGCTTCTGCTGTCTAAGAAAAAAAGGAAAGATTCAAAAATATACCTGTGACTATAATAGCTCTTGGGAGGAGGAAAAGCCCTCTTGAGTCATCCAGAGTCAGGCCACTTGGAAATTGACTATACATGTAGGTTGGGAACTAGGCTGGTTATTAAGCTACTGTATCTTAGCACCACCCACTCACCTGTTACTCTGTTACATGATTTTGAGGCTGGACTCCACAAATAAAATTTATCCTTTGCCATCTGGTTTCCTGTTAGGCTCTGCCAATAAAGGGTATTAGAGGAAGACTGCAAACCTAGAGGATGGCAAAGGGATTTGCCCCTTGCTCTTTGCTTTCTGTGTCTGTCAACATCCCCTCAGCAATAGTTCTTCACCCTAGCAGCAGCATTTGGGTCTAGGTCTTTTTTTTTTTTTTTTCTAATTTCCAGAATCAGCCTCATTGGAGTCCCTGCAGAGACACCAGCACCAGCCAGGTGGCACCTCCTGCTCCGTGGTCTTGTTCTCAACTTTATGGGGCTCTTCATCCAAGCTTCTAGGTTCAACTAATCCACTCTACCCTTTGCTCCCCTGTTCTAACGGTGGAAGATATTTCCTGTAGTTTGCATATCTTTCTGGAGTTATAGTTTTCTAAATACCTGTTTAGCAATTCGATTCCCTATATTAAATTATCCCTGTTAAAATAACTGGAATGGTTTCTGTTTTCCTGATTGGACCTTGATGGATACAGGATCTAACTTTATTTGTATTTCAGATATAGGTTGGAATGGTCACTTTCCCAAAACTTTTATTAATTTATTAATCCAAGAGAACATACGATATGTCTGGCATTCTGCTGAGGACTGGGAAAAGAAATATAAGTGTCTTCTACTAATTTAGTCCAACAAACCATGAGAATACCCAGATAAACCCTATGCAATCTGAAGTGCTAAAAGAGATATATAAAAATTGCTGTGGATTTTTTAAAAAGAAAGGAGTATGCTATAACAAAAGTATCTTAGAAAAAAAATTTTTTTGAAACAAAAAAATGGGCTGGGTGCGGTGACTTACGCCTGTAATCCCAGCACTTTGGGAGGCCAAGGCAGGTGGATCACAAGGTCAGGAGATCGAGACCATCCTGACTAACATGGTAAAACCTCGCCTCTACTAAAAAATACAAAAAATTAGCTGGGCGTGGTGGCGGGCGCCTGTAGTCCCAGCTACTCGGGAGGCTGAGGCGGGAGAATGGCGTGAACCCGGGAGGCGGAGCTTGCAGCGAGCCGAGATTGTGCCACTGCACTGCAGCCTGGGCGACAGAGCGAGATTCCATCTAAAATAATAATAATAATAATAATAATAATAATAAAATAAATAAATAAAAAAGGAACAATTAATTTTGTTAAGGAGGATTCAAAGACAGATAAATAAAAGAACCATACTGAAAAGATTGAAAATGAAGGTTTTAACATAGACACAGGGAAGGGAACAACACACACTGGGGCCTGTGGGGGAGAGGGAAGCGGGAGAGAGAGCATTAGGAAAAATAGCTAATATATGTTGGGTTTAATACGTAGGTGATGGGTTGATAGGTGCAGCAGACCACCATGGTCCACGTTTACCTATGTCACAAAACTGCACATCCTGCACATGTACCCTGGAACTTAAAATTTTAAAAAAGAGAGAGAGAATAAAAGAAAAATAAAAAAAGAAAAGAAAATGAAGGTTTTAAAGGGCCACGTGAATTTACTGTTTTTTCATTCTCCGCAAATTATCACAAGGACAAAAAAACCAAACACCGCATGTTTTCACTCATAGGTGGGAATTGAACAATCAGAACACATGGACACAGGAAGGGGAACATCACACACCGGGGCCCGTTGTGGGATGGGGGGAGTGGGGAGGGATAGATAGCATTAAGAGATACACCTAATGCTAAATGACGAGTTAATGGGTGCAGCACACCAACATGGCACATGTATACATATGTAACAAACCTGCACGTTGTGCACATGTACCCTAAAACTTAAAGTATAATTAAAAAACAAGACAAAACTGTAGTTGTTTTTAGTTTAAAATAGTTTAAAAACAACTATTAGCACTCTCAATTTTCATTAATTATATCCATAACTTAAAAACTATTAAACCAATCTGGCCTGTTGAATCTCTGCGTAATTCTTCCAGCCATTCAGATTACATTAATTTGTAATATACCACCTTCCACAGGAGTTGTATTTCATATTTCATAACCCTCCCCCACAAACACGCACACAAATGGTAAATTTGTTAACTCTCTTTTCAAGGAACACACACTCTTACAACATGGATTACGCAACTATAGAGCAAGCCCATGAAACCTAAAGTACATTCCATGATACGTTACTTCACTGGGGGCATTAGTAGGTAGTCCATGAATGAAGGGTACAATATATAAATAACTTTGAGAAATGCTGGACTGAGCAGACAGATTTACTTGCTGCAGGAATTTTCAAAGCTTTTAATATCCTAATATGTTTGTGAATCCCAAAGACAACGTTACAAATTGCAGCCAGCTCTCCAGATCACATTTGCTTCATCTTTCACTTATCCATCGTATCCAATCAGATATTTAAGTTCCCTCTAGTTTCTTCCTCCTCCTTCCTTCTTCCCCACTGTGACCATCCAAGACTTTGTCCTGGTCTTTTTTATCTACCACCCTCCTACCTGACCACCTTGCCTTACTGCTCATCCCCCAGGTCAGTCTTCCACAACAGTCAGACTTCCACTGCAATCAGAAAACTGCAGCCCACAGACCAATGCCAAACAGTTTATTCATAGACCAATGCCTGTTTATTCATAGTTGATAAGCTAAGAATAGTTTTACATGGTTATGTTTTAAACAGTTATATAAGCACCTACATAATATCATTTTGTGTCTTTTGCAAAGCCTAAAGTATGTACTATCTGGCCCTTTTAGAGAAAGTTGCTGACTCCTGCTTGACACCCCTGTCAGATGCATTTATCCTAAATCACCTGTACTTTTTATGGTTTCTTATCACAAGTTATAATGGCTCCTGCTTGTTTAGCCTCAATGACAGAAAACCATGAACAAGGAAAACCCTCTCACCAAGCAGGGAAGTGGGGTCCTTCTTTTAGGTTTTGGCAAAGAGAAAAATTGTTGTCATCTGCTGACTCCAGTGCAAAATCAGGGAACACTAAAAGTATAGAAAGTCCCTTTCTGGGGATACAAAAATGTGCATGCACCAGAGAGTGGTAAACAGAAAGAATGACCAATTTTGTCAAAGCAGAATTACCAAACAGGAAGCAGAAGGTACAGGCAGTGATGCACTGACAAATGTCTCACAACTGGCTTTCCACTGAGATGCAGGAAAGATTTTAATTAGAGGTGAGAAGCCTTGATGTGTATCATGTGCCAATTTCCATGGTGTAAATGCTCCCACCACGCTTGTTTCAAGTTACAAATAAGACATCATGGAACAGAGTTGGGAAGAGACACACTCAATGGGCTTTCACCCTAATACAGCAGGAACAGAGCAGGAACCAAAGCAGGACCAAAAGGAGCAGAGTCCTGTTTCTCCGGGCTTCTGTACCCTGATCACTCAGGAGAAAGGCAAGCCACCCAGGATAGTGGTTAGAAATCAAGTCGACAGCTGATCCTTGACACTAGCCCGAAGTTTGGGAAAGTATTTCATCTGCTCCCTTTGTGATACGACTTTTTTTCCTGGGGGCTGGGGAGGTCCACCTTGCTCCTATGCTGAAATTCCTTCCGCTTCTTTCACAATGAGGAAAGCTCTTGAGAAGGAAAGCAAGGAAATACACACTTATCCACCCCATAGGCCAAATGTCTGATGTCAGACCCTTTCCTCGGGTCATGTTTGGTTAGGAAGACGTAAAAAAATTTGAAAACAGTATATAAGAGGAGGCATCAGAAAGAGAAAATTAGAAGAAAGGGAATTAACTACTATCAAGTGTTTGTTTTTTCATTAAGCAAGAGGTTCAGGGTTCCATCAACTTGGAAGGAATAAAATTCATCTTTATTTTCACTCTTTAACAAGTAGTTGGCATTTTCTTCATTTACAAATGTAGGTTATAAACCCACAATGTGATTTTGCCAACAATAGAAATGAGATATTTTCATGTACAGTGTTACAGTTTGGCAGGTAAATCAAAATATCATTTATGTGCTTCTTTACCTCAAAATTATCGTAGTTATCAGACCCTCAGCTTAATCTCTTAATTTTTAATACATGAACAAAGAAACATATTACATTCTAACACACATTTTAAAAAAACATTTTGATAAATGTATTATAGTGTTACCTTTGTAATTCCACATATTTTGTTTTATGAGTTTCAAGTACTTGTTCTAGGAGCCCATAGCCTTCACTAGACTGCCAACAAATATGGTCAATAAAAGATTGAAATCCCCATGAAAGACATTTTAAATATGTTACTTTAACCATCACAATGATGCTATAAGTTTTCTTGTTCTCCTTTCACTGGTGGAAAAAAAAATTGAGTGTTAAAGAAGTTAAATGACGACCCCAAGCTTATTCTGCCATTACATGGCAGGGCCAGTAATTGAACTCCAATTGGTTTGATGCTCTATTGCTCTTCCAGGCCCTTCACCCTTCTGATTGCTCCACTGGTAAAGGGAAGGAGGGTTTGCTCAATGGTCTTGATCAGGCCCCAAGTCTCTGAAAAGGTCTTTTGGTTGCTACAAAGTCAAGAGCCCCAGAAAGCAGGCCAGCAGGATGTTAACAGAATGGGCAGAAAAGTAGACTTTCAGTGCTACCATTATTCCTCCTGGAGTGGCTCAGCTAAATTAAGCCAGGCCTCAGTGACCCTGTCCTCCAGATGTGCTACAGGGACCTAGCCTATGTGCAAAGGCCTGGAGGGTGTATGCATCTCCATTATACAGACAGGTCCCATGGGTTTCGTTGCATACCTCAGCTCAGTGCCAGGGAGCAGGAACACTGTGAGAAGGAGGACTTCCAGGAGAAAAGATGGGGAGGAAATAAATTCTCTCTGAGCTTGTGCCTCTGCCCTGCAGAGTGACTTTACTTCTGTCCAACTATCATCTATTGGGTCCTCTATGCCAATATGGTGTGAGATAGTATTGAGATTCAAAAACAAACAAGTTATAGTTTCTACCAACAGGAGCTCATGACTTAGGGGCAGTTACATGTCCTGTTAGGTACTTCCAGGATTCTTTGATGCTGATTCAGAAATCCCAGGGGAAGGCAGAGATGAAAACAATCTCAGGACAGTGAGATAAGAGGAACAATACATGGAAGTGCAACGAGGATGACAAAGAAGGATTTATACTGGTTACTTAGGAAAACAACAGAAGTGTTCACCAAGGGACTGAAAAGATGGATAGGAGTGTTCCCTACAGGGTGGAGGGTGGAACGGTGAACAGGTGGAGAGAAGACTGTGGACTAAAGCACAGCTTACTTTCAGCAAGAGTGCTGAGTTCAGATTCCCCCAAAGGCAGAGCTGAGGCAAAGACTTGAGTGCAGGTGGTTTATTTGAGAGGATGTGAAATTGAGGGAGTAGTGAAAATAAGACAGAGAAGGAAGAAAAGCCAGTAAAGAGTACATTTCTGAGTTGTTTACCACTGTAGGCAACAAGGGCTCAATGTACCAGGGGCCTGCTATGAAACCACATGGAACTCATCTCAGCACTGTTCCACTGGGGGAATGGGAGGCCAGAGTGGTTGAGATGAGGTTTGCTCTCAGGGAAGTTAACGCCATCATACTTTTCACGTTCTGCCTGCATGCAGCTGAGTAGCCTTTGGTGGTTTCTCATGTCTTTCTCCTCTTATAAAGACACTAGTCCTAATGGATTCGAGCCTCATCCTGATGACCTCATTTAATCTTAATTATCACTGTAAAGGCTCTGTCTCCAAGTCAGTCAGGGCTTCAACATATAAATTTTATAGGAACACAATTCTGTCCATAACAAGTGCCTTTATGAAAGGAAGGGAGAAAGAGCCATTTTAAGGGTCTAATTTCAGGATGTTGCTAGAAATAACTTGTATGTGTATTTACCGGGGCATGTTGCATGAGAAATCTGGCATAAAACACATTTCGTTGTCTGTACAGTGTTGTCTCTGTGAAAACAGTTAAATAAAAATGAAGAAAATTACTTGTCTTTCCATTCTTCCCTAACCCCTTCCTCAAGAGAGATGAGCCATCTTTAAGGAGGCCAGCATCCATCTAACAATTGTTGACTCAGTAAAATCTCTTCTAAACAATAGTGGCACCTTGGGATGAGTGACTTTTGACCTTCCATAGCCTCCAATAACCCTCAAGTCATGCGTGTCAAGTACTCATATACCCTAAATAAAAACAGTGAACCTACTACAAGCGAAGAGTTTCAAAATACATTTCCTCTCACCTCTTTCCAGTTAGAACACCACTTCTAAAGCCGAAACTGACAAAAGACCTCAAGCCATTGCTGTTTTCAGTCAACTGTTATTCATAATACCAGTAATACCAGACAAGCATTCTGTTCAGAATAGAAGATTGAATGCATGGAGTTATCTCTCTACAACATTCCATTAAAAGTCCCATTAAAATTCCAATGATTGTAATAAAGAAGTTAAAAAGTGAACAAATCCATATTAGCACCAACAATGGGGAGGACAGAAGAAGCACCAGCAGATCTGAAAGTTTAGCAAAGTAATGGGAGAGAGAAAACATATGGAATCATATCGACAGATAAAACAGGATGAGGAAGCTGTATTGAGAGAGTAACCTCACTTGTGTACATACTCTGCCTCATGCCTTTAAGTGAAACCTGTTAACTGCTATGACCCACAGAACTTACAGACAGCAAGAAGGAAAGAAGGAAATTTCCCAGAACTAAGGTCCCAAACACTTGGGATGAAAGGCCCAGGCCCACCAAATGCTGAGCAAAATGAGAAGGACACATCCTCATAAACCATGAGCACACCAAGCAGGGCTATGCCTCTGGATGTACAGGCTTTACTCTGCGCAAAAGCTCCCAGCCAAAGGGTTGAGTGGAGATCAAATCCAACCCACACTTACCAAGCCAGGCTCTCTGGTGCAGAGCTGCACCCACCTAGAGCAAGGACACTTTTTGTACTCCACATAAATATGTCATAACAGCAACCCTACCGCCAAGGGAAAATAAAGTGTCCTAAATCTTATAGAGAAAGCGAAAAATTTAAAAAACGGATTTTTATAAGAATACCATGGATCATTGCTATGGTAGACATAGAGATGCACTACCTTGATCCCCTTTCAAGGAACACCTGCTACCCGATGCATGGACTACAGTGAGCAGAGCCTCCAGCTGTCAGCTCCTTCAGGGTCAGCTTCAGCCACCTCTCCCAAGGTCATTCCCTTCCCAGAGCAGCCTGTATCTGGTGTCAGAGAGAAGGAGGGCATAAAGGTTCAACCATTTCTGCCCAGCAAATAATATCCATGGGTATTATGCATACCCATGACCCAGAGCACCTGCCATGTCGGCTGAGGCATTTTCAAGCCTGTGTTTCAGTTCAACTGCTCAGTCAGCCCAATCTTGCTGTTGCCGCCTTCCTTTCACAGGTGTTGATCCTTAATAAATATTTTGTTCCCTAAACTCCATCTCTACTTCTGGAGAACTCAACCTGCAGCAAATGGCTTCAATGCTCTGGAGGAAAAGTAACCGTAAATCTCTAGTCTTAGACAAAAACTTGTTACTCAAATGTGAAGGCTGAATATTAAATCATGTGAGACTCAGAGATGTCTCCTTATACACCCTGAGGGGGAAAAAAATACTTGAGGATAAACTTGAGACCAAAAGAAAAACAAAAACAAATAAAACAGAAACCATGAAAACAGTAGGCCAAAGTGACTAGTTTTGAAAATAAAAACCAGAGACAGAACTATGCAATTGGCTGTGACAAATAAAAAGCCCCAACAACATTTAGATCGAGTTCCAAGAAAAAAGTCTCCATTAAAAAGTAGATTCCAGGGCCGGGCGCGGTGGTTCATGCCTGTAATCCCAGCACTTTGGGAGGCCGAGGTGGGCAGATCATGAGGTCAGGAGTTCGAGATCTGTCTGGCCAACATGGTGAAACCCCGCCTCTACTAAAAATACAAAAACTAGCTGGGCATGGTGGCAGGCACTTGTAATCACAGCTACTGGGGAGGCTGAGGCAGGAGAATCATTTGAACCCAGGAGGCGGAGGTTGCAGTGAGCTGAGATCATGCCATTGTATTCCAGCCTGGGTGACAGAGCGAGACTACATCTCAAAAAAAAAAAAAAAAAAAAAAAAGTAGATTCCAATTTGATAGGTAATGTGATGAAGCAGGAACATCTTTGTAAAATGGTGAAGAATTTGTTTCTTTTCCATAAGAAAAATGAAAGAAAATTAGAAACTTTGGACAAAAACAAAATCTATACAAAAAGCTACAAATATGAAGCAAATTCATATGTCATGTTTTTGAGATGCTGAAGCAAATTGAAATAAGTTTGGGTGTTGAGAAAGCATTGGCTGTAAGCTGCACATGCTCTGTGCTATTTCTCATCTCAGAAGGGCAAGTCACTCTATTTGGTCTTGGGGTGAATAATATATAATCATTATATTGCTAATGACTTGCATTGGTGCTTGATTTTTGAATTCAAGCTACAGGCAAAGCATATTTATAAAATAGAATGAAAAAGTAATAAACCTTGATGATGTTTAATGATGTTGTTGGAAGACTTTGAGAATTGGTAAGAGGAAAAGTGAAAATTCAGGGCTTCTAATTTCATCTTACATTTCTCATAGCAGCAAATCAAATTTGTTTCAAGTTAATGGATCAAGATGTAGCATTTGATGTATACTTTTTACAACTATTAACATACCAATAGAAGAACCCGAACTAATAATATAAAAAATAGGATGAGGGAAGAGAAAATGGGAGAAGACAGTTCTTTATCACTCATAACAGGGAGTCTATAACTGATGTTTAAAATTAATAATTGGAGAAACAAAGATTTCACATACTATTTAGAATTATATAGGTAACCACTGGAAGAATTAAAAGCAGAAAGGGCTCATCTGTGGGAAGTGGGTCAGAGGAGAAAAGGGATGGGACAAGGAACAGTTGATTTTCATTGTATGTGCTTCTGCACTGTTTGCATTTAAATTTCTGTGTGTATAAACATTTCACCTGGCTTCTGTTCTTCCTCTGCCCCTTGGACAACCTCTCATTTGTTACTGTCTTAACTCTGATGTTTCTGTCACCTTCAGAGCAGTTTCCCCTTGTGTCTACCTGTTCCACATAGTGCAATCCCAGGACCCAGGAAAGAGATAGCTCAGCCCTCCATTACCCCCTCTCCTAGGTACCAGCCTCTGCCTGATAGGAGAGGAGTAGCTAACAAAACCTTGCCTCCCTAAGTGGCTTACAAATGCCTTCATTAACTCCCTCTGTGTACCTAGAAAGTCCAGTATAATCATACACGCATGGACCAATTCATAGTTCTCGACTGCACTGAATCAGTTACCAGTCATGTGACGTTAAGCAGGCCACTTTCACCTCTTGGGATCTGTTTCCTCATCTGTAAAATGAACAAGAATAAAATCCAGCCTTCTGTGTCAATGATCAATTTAGTCCACGTGGGTAGACAAGATTTAAGACATACCCCTTGAAAAAGAAATTATAGATCTTAAAGACATTTCAATATTCATCTAATCACAAGTCTGAGTAGGATGTGAAAAAAGGTTTTTGGCAGCTGACTAGACACTGGAGCATTTTTCTGTGTCACCTGGAAGATCCAGCAGAGTAAACTTTGCCTGGACTGAATATTTTTGAGCTGTGTGAGCTGGAACAGGCCACTTCACTAATCTGATTCTCAGTTTCCTCATCCACAAGATGATAGAAACATAACAGATGTTCTTTGGAGACCCTGAGCAAGTCTAGGGATGTGGAAGGCTGCGGAAGGCTGCCTGGCTTGAGCATCTTAACAGCGCCCAAGTTTATGGTTCAGCAGTGCAGCCCCGGCAGTCCAAGAAAGAAACAACACCATCTTCTCTGCCCCCAGAATTTCCAAGATCTCTGCTAAATCTGACCCAAAGAAACAAGATGGTGCTTCTGGCCACTTCTCTTACTGATCCTTTGCCTCATGTCCTGGATTTGCTCTTTATCTGCTTCATTGGATTCAGTGTCTTAGGCCATCCCTCCTTCCCTAGCCACCTTTTCCCAGAAGAGGAGTACCAGTTCTGTGCCCTATGCCCCACAGCCTTGGGTCAGCCACAGGGTCACTCTGGATAGTGAAGTTCTGAATAACCCTACTATTAAATTAAAGTGATTTTTCAAGCAATGAGTTGTAGTAAAATCCCCACCCAAAGAAATCCACAAGTGAAACACCCAATACATAATTGGTATTATCATTAAAGGTTGAAAATCAGTCATCAATGAGGAATGCAACAATTATTTGGAACTAAATCTCCACCAGCACATGGGGACCAGGAAAGCTGTCTGGCACAGCATCAGGGAGTCATTTGGCCTGGAGAGCTCATTGCACTGACAAATGAGAATTAGATCCTAATTATCCCATTGGCAGGTTTCCGATATTTTAATATACTTTCTACCACTGTCACACTGTCAAAACAATCATTTGCCTCCTTAAGCAGGTGTCAGGCATTGTAAAGTGTGTATGTCCTTGTAAAATTAAACAGGAAACTTTCTGAAATTGGAGATGTAATCTGGGGCCCTAATTATAGCATACATAGATACCTAAAGTCAGGAGGCAAAGAGAAAGGAACACTGATTTTCCTTTTTCTCTTTTTTTCCCCTGAGGCACTGAAGTCTGAGTCCACACACAGGTGAAGGTAAATTACGCCACCTGAGTATCAGGGAGGGATTCCAAGCCGTTTTTCCTGCCATCCTTGCCTCTTAGCCAACATTGGTTATAAACATGTATTAATTTTCTCTGCACAATCTGTAGAGTTAACCTATCTTGTCTCCTTTGACTCTCAACAATAGCTCCGTAAGTTCAGCCAGGCAGCACCTTTGTGCCATTTTATAGCTGCACAAACTGACTAATGAGTGGTGCTTCAAGCCGCCTGATTCTAATAAACCTGTTTCTTCTACGTCCCCTCCACCCCCCCCCCACCCCCGCCGCCGTGTAGCTGCCTTTCTTCCTGGTCCAGTAACTAAACCTCTGCTGGAATTACCTCGACGTTCACGTTCCTGTTGCTGTTTCGTGGACTCTGAGACTCTTGGACAGGTGGTCAGGAGGTGAAACTGGCAGCCACCAACACAGGGCCCCGTGAGCTATTCACAAATAGACATTGTATTAATGCTGAATGACTGATTGACCAAAGTAATAGCACCAGGAAAGGCTCCCCAAATTCAAGGAGTACTGAACTCAACAGATGTTAGTTCGTAGCCTACTATGGACAAAGCATTGTGTACAATGCAGGGGTGTTATACATGAAAGAAGGCAAGATTTCTTCCCTCAAGAAGCTCACATTTGAGTCAAGAAGATAGATATGCTCTTATTTTCTAAAAATTAGGCAACCATTTTGAAGGTATAAAGTGCTCGAAAACCAAACGGGAAAGGACATCATCACAGGTTGGGGTCAAGAGACTTCATAGGAGATAAAATATGAGGCCGGGCGCGTGGTTTACACCTGTAATCCCAGCACTTTGGGAGGCCGAGGCGGGTGGATCACGAGGTCAGGAGATCGAGACCATCCTGGCTAACACGGTGAAACCCCGTCTCTACTAAAAATATAAAAAATTAGCCGGGCGTGGTGGCGGGCGCCTGTAGTCCCCGCTACTCAGGAAGCTAAGGCAGGAGAATGGCATGAACCCGGGATGCAGAGGTTGCAGTGAGCAGAGATCGCGCCACTGCACTCCAGCCTGGGCGACACAGCGAGACTCCGTCTCAAAAAAAAAAAAAAAAAAAAAAAAAAAAAAAAAAAAAAAGAGATGGTTCTTGAAAGACAAGGAAGTTGTTGACAGATGGTAGTGGGGGAAAGGATGGTACTTTCTGCTCAGTGATACACTCTCAATACTGGTTGACCCCTTCTCAGATGGAAACCTTCCCTGGACCCCCAAATCTGGGCACTCCATCGCATACTGAGACTGTATTAGTTTGTTCTCACACTGCTATGAAGAAATACCTGAGACTGGGTAATTTATAAATAAAAGAGGCTTAATTGGCTCACAGTTCCACATTGCTGGGGAAGCCTCAGAAAACCTCCAGTCATGGCAGAAGGTGAAGAAGAAGCAGGCACCTTCCTCACAGGGTGGCAGGACAGAGTAAGTACAAGCAGCAGAACTGCCAAGTGCTTATAAAACCAACAGATCTCATGAGACTTACTCACTATCACGAGAACAGGATGGGAGAAACCACGCCCATGATCCAATGACCTCCACCTGGTCCTGCCTCTGACACGTGGGGATGATGGGAATTATAATTCAAGATGAGATTTGGATGGGGACACAGTCAAACCATATCAGAGACCAAACCCCTGCTCACCCTTCCCCTTTTCTCTCCCACCCCATGCCTCCCTGGAGGTTTCTTTTGATAGCACCCCCTCAAAAAATCCCATAAACCCAGATCCTTGTGTCAAGCTCTTGGATATAAGCCAGTTACCTAAGAAGCTCTTCTGGAGCTGCATTTCCTCACCTGTAAAACCCTGATAATACATCACAAGTGGCTGTGAAAACAAGGTGATGTAGTTTTAAGTTCCTTGTATAATTCTGGGTTCAATAAATCATGGCAAGGATTTTTTTTCTTCTTTACATTTCAAGAGAATTTCTGGTCTCTGGGATATGAAACAAAGAGACCCCAGGTAGCACCATCAGGTGTCAGCAGCAGCTGAGGGACTAGAGCAACTAGGAGTTTGTAAATGCAGGAGGCGCCAATCAGCCCACGCCTACTGATGGGCCAGTCAGGACTTGTGCCAACCAAGTGCACTTTGTACCCAATTTACCACAACTGGTGGGGGCAGGGAGCTGGAGAGGAGGTGGTGGAAGGGGACAGGTGGCAGGGCAGTGGGGTGCCATTGGAGGAGTTTCAATTCAGTATATTTGTAGGTTAGCGTTGCTGTTTACCTTTTAAGCAGAAGGGCAAACAGATAGTCTACCAGATAAAATCGCTCTCTCTGAAATATTGCTTCCTGACTCCACTGTTTCATCTCCATTGGCTTCTGCTTCCCTCTACCCTCTCCTTTCAGGCTGGCTTCCCACAATCACTGCAGGGTGAGCCCGAGTTGATGAGGGCACCTGGCTTTGGCAGCAGCTCATCAAAGCTAGAGTTCAGGTGTGTTTCTAGGATTTAATTAAGCTAGAAATGAAATCCAGCCCTGCAGTGGCTCATCCTCTTTATTATCACATTTCTTACTGCTTGTCAGGCCACAATGACTGCAGGTCTTGAAAAAGAAGAAGCGGCATGTTTCCTAGGCAGGGCTCAGTTAATCTATTTCACATGGCATTTCAGGTACATTCCTCCATTTTAGGATGGGAGAAAAAGTATTCTCAGGGATCTTTCTGGGGAAAGGGATCACTTTTACATGAATAAAGGTAATTCTTGTTATAATATGTGCCCACTATAAAAAAGTATAAGATATAACAGAATGTTAAAAATCACTTGTAATCTTACCAGCTAGAGATAAACATGGCTAGTATTATATCTCCTTCCTGCCAAGTTACAGGTTGTAAAAGAGAGAGTAAAAGAAAGAGTTCTGATGCTGTAGAAGGGGGGGTTCTGGTTCACTGTATAAACAAATCATATTTTTCACTTATATATATACTCACTAACATTGATTTATATAGGACACTCATTCACTAAGATCAATGTTCCCCCACTTTCAAACAGTGTGGAACTAGAAAAAAAGATCAGGACTTAAAGGAATTTTCATGCTCAGTAATACTAGACTATCACATTGCAGTCATGTTTTCTGTCCTAGTAACATATTCTATAGTCTCTCAGATTAATCAAATGAGATGAGGGGATTTATACACTGCTGTGCACTGAGAAGGGGGCTTAACAATCTCCCAAAGTAATATCATTTGACATTTGTTGCTATTTGACTGCAACTGCAAAAGGTATTCATTTTTTAGCCTGATTTGTGTTCTGCGGGTGGCAGTCCCCTTCATGTCCCCTTAGTGTGGTGAAGTTTGGCAGCTAGATGGCACTGACCTTTCTCACTCTGGAAATGTGATTGCTTTCACAATGATTGCGTAGAAACACTTAGCAAATCTCACACTGTTAACTCCACCCCACACCCGCAATGTTGGCATTTTCTGACTGTCAGGTGGCATTAGCCAGCTGAAAACTCACTAAGATGAGGAAGCTGTGCTGAGTTAATAACTTCTGAGATAGTCATTTAGTCAGTTTTCATGAAATTAATAAGTTCCACCTTGGCAATGGTAAAAGTCACAAAATCATGAACTGTCAAAGATGGAAGGAACCTTCAAGAACTCGTAGTTCAACACATTCATTTTACAAGTAAAGGGAAATGAGCACTAAAAAAAGGAAGGGATTTTTGTTTTTAAGATCGTAGAGCTAGGATGGAGTAGTGGTTTTCAACCTGTGTGGTGACAGCTTAGATCTAAATGGAATTCTGCATGCATAACTGCAATATATATGAAACATCTCAGAAAGAAGCACCGTGATTGAAGCAGGGTGGGAATCCATAACCTCACCCACTCCTTGTCCATCTCAGCTCTCAGATACCTTGGGGAAGCCCTGAGTCTCCATGAGGCACAGATCAAACCACTTTCTTATGGCATGCTGGCTTCAGTTACATTTCTCACACCTCCAAATGCTCTTTATGTGAACAAATAATCTCTTTTAGACTGATAAATAATTCCAAATGTAAAAGTGTGATCTCAGTTCTCTCATTTGCTAAAGGAAGACAATAATGATCTCTGCCACAGCAAAGGAAATATCCATTAGAAGTTGAAAAGATAATGAAAATGAGTAGACATTGTGATCTCCTCCCTCAGCATCAATTTCAGCCCTGGTCCACTGTAGAACTGCTATGTGGTTTAGGCAGGCACTGACGCCAGCTCCAGCTTCAAGGTGGTCCAGCACTGGTCTAAAGCAGTTAGCTATAGGTAACCACTGAATTGGTAAATGTCAATAGTAGGGTAACTATATGATAGTTAATTTTGTAAGTCAAGTTGACCGGGCAACAAAGATGCCCAGGTATTTGGTTAAATGTTTTTTCTGAATATGTCATTTCTGGATGATAGTAACATTTGAATCAGGAGACTGAGCTCTCATCCAACCTGATGAAAACTTAAATAAAATAAAAGGATGAGTAAGAAAGAATTTTTTTGTGTCTCTGACTGTCTTCAAGCTGGGACATTGGTCTTCTCCTGCCTTCAGACATGGACTCAGACTGGAACTTACACCATTGACTCTCCTGGTTTTCAGAGTTAGACTTGAAATGGAACTTACAGCATCAGCTTTCCTGGTTCTCAGGCCTTTCGTCTCAAAATTTAACTATACCATCAGCCTCTTGCGTCTGGACTTCTCAGCCTCCATAATCATATTATGAACCAATTCTTTTTTTTTTTTTTTTTTTTGAGACAGAGTCTCGCTTTGTCTCCCAGGCTGGAGTGCAGTGGCGCGATCTCGGCTCACTGAAAGCTCCACCTCCCGGGTTCATGTCATTCTCCTGTCTCAGCCTCCCGAGTAGCTGGGACTACAGGCACCCGCCACCACGCCCAGCTAATTTTTTTTTGTATTTTTAATAGAGATGGGGTTTCACTGTGTCAGCCAGGATGGTCTCAATCTCCTGATCTCGTGATCCACCCGCCTTGGCCTCCCAAAGTGCTGGGATTATAGGTGTGAGCCACTGCACCCAGCTGAGCCAATTCTTTATAGTAAATCTAGATAGATAGATAGATAGATAGACAGATAGATACATAGATACATAGAGACATATAGGGATATATACATGCATATACGTTCTATTGGTTCTGTTTCTCTGGAGAATGCAGATTGATTCAAGGAACAAACACGGACCTTAGTTTGGGCAAATCAAACAAGGTTTACTAATTGAAAAAGTACAGAAGGAAGTCAGAGTGGTAAAAATATACAGCAGAGAGGTCAATGCTGCTCTCCAAAGGAGTTATAAAATTCCCAACAATAGACCCACAGTTGCAAATGATAACTTTGAGAGAGGATCACATTAGACTTTCTAGACACCCAACTATCCCCCTCTGTTAATAAGGGTGGACTTGCCCTGCATGTTAGGTAGCCTGAATAAATATTGGGATGCCCTCATTTGGGTCAGTTGCACACCATTACTTTTGGGACTATACGATTTATGATAAAACTAAAGTTGGTGTCCAGCTCAGTACAATATACTTGGACATAAACATAGCCTTATTCATCATTCTCAGCCTTCCCAAGCTAATATAGCCTGGTCCAGTGACTCTCTGAAGTAAAGATTGTCAAATCAAAAGGAGCTCTGTTACCCAGGTATCCTTACCAGTCAGCTAATAATGTCCATGCAATAGAGTTGTTATAAGGTATAAATAAAATACTGGGGGTGTGGCCAAGATGACTGACTAGAAGCAGTGGCAATCAAAGGCTCCCATCTAAAAGAACCAAAACAGCATCCAAATCTTGCACTGGCAACTGAGGTTATCCAAGTTCTATCATCAGGATTGACTAGGTGGCTGGTGTGACCCATGGAGAGGAAGGAATAGCAGTGTGGTGAGGTGGCCCACCTGAAAGCTACATGGGGGAGGTGAGCCCCCAGCCAAGAGAGGCCATGAGTGAGCGTGCTACGCAACCTGGGAAGCCATGCTTTTTCCATGGAACTGTGCAACCCACAGATCAGAATATCCCACTTGTGACCCCATACTACCATGGCCTAGGATCCCAACCACGGAGCCGCACAAATTCTCAACAGCTAGAATCTATCTAAGCCTGTTGCATTCCCGGGCAGAGGGGCAGCCATCACCACAGCTGTGGCTGCCTGCTGTCTAAGCCATCTGAGCTTCTTGCGGGAGGGGCGGCAGCCAACACTGGGACTGCTAGTTGGCCAGGCGCGGTGGCTCACGCCTGTAATCCCAGCACTTTGGGAGGCCGAGGCGGGCGGATCACGAGGTCAGGAGATCAAAACCATCCTGGCTAACACGGTGAAACCCCGTCTCTACTAAAAATACAAAAAAATTAGCTGGGCGTGATGGCGGGCACCTGTAGTCCCAGCTACTCGGGAGGCTGAGGCAGGAGAATGGCGTGAACCTGGGATGTGGAGCTTGCAGTGAAGCGAGATGGCGCCACTGCACTCCAGCCTGGGTGACAGAGCAAGACTCCGTCTCAAAAAAAAAAATTTAAAAAAATCTGCTACAACATCTGTCTAACATTGTACTGAAAGTCAGAGCCAGTGTAATTAGATGAAAAATTAAAAGACATCCATATTGGGACAGGAAAATTAAAATTGTCTCTACTTGCAGATGGCATGATTTATATACAAAAAATCCTAAATAATTCACTAAGAAACTACTACATTTAAGTAGGCAGAACCAAAAAATCAATACACAATGATCAATTCTATCTCTATACACTTACAATGAGCAATCAAAAATGAAATAAAGAAGCAATTTCATTTACAATAGCATCAAAAAGAAAAATACTTAATACATTTAACAAAAAGTGTAAATCTTATACTCTGAAAGCTAAAAAGTACTGTTGAAAGAAACTGAAAAAGTCATAAATAAATGGAAAGACATGCCATGTTCACAGATTAGAAGACTATTTGTCTAAGATGATAATAAATATTCCCAAAATTGATCTACAAGATTCAATGTAATCTTCATTAAAGTCCCAGATGACTTCTTTGCAGAAATTGAGTAACTGATCCTAAAAGTCAAGGGACTTAGAGTAGCCAAAACAACCGTTAAAAAGAACAAATTAGGTGGAGCCAGTTTCAAAAGTTTCTACAAAGCTATAGTAATCAGTATAGCCTGGTACTGCCACGAAGATGTCACATAGTTCAATCAGATAAGATTTAGAGTCTAGACATAAACCCTTTGGTTAACAGTCAATTGATTTTCTTTTCTATATATATTTTAAGCAGAAAAGGATTTATTTTTATTTTTATTTTTTTACTTTAAGTTCTGGGATACGTGTGCAGAATGTGCAGGTTTGTTACATAGGTATACGTGTGCCATGTGGTTTGCTGCACCTATTGACCTGTCCTCTAAATTCCCTCAGTCAGTTGATTTTCTTTCTTTTTTTTTTTTTTTTTGAGACAGAGTCTCGCTCTGTCCCCCAGGCTGGAGTGCAATCTTGGCTCACTGCAAGCTCCGCCTCCCGGGTTCACGCCATTCTCCTGCCTCAGCCTCTCAAGTAGCTGGGACTACAGGTGCCCGCCACCACGTCCGGCTAATTTTTTGTATTTTTAGTAGAGACAGGGTTTCACCGTGTTGGCCAGGCTGGTCTTGAACTCCTGACCTCAAGTGATCCTCCCACCTCGGCCTCCCAAAGTGTAGGATTACAGGTGTGAGCTACTGCACCCGGCCAAAAAAATAGTCTGTTAAAGCTTCTTAAGGTAAATCCAGTTTAAAAACTAGAAAGATAAAATAATGTTTCCTTCTGACCTAATTTAAAAGGACCCAGGAAACAAAGTCCTCTACAGAAATCACAGGGGGTGATACAGAGGGAAAGAAAGCAAATGAAGGAAGTAATAAAGGTACATCCAAGGCAGGATGGACGTGCAGGCATCATAGTCACAGCCATAAACCAGATGAACTCCTCAGAAAAGTGGAAGGCTCGTAATCTTGATTCGAAAACAAAACTCAGTGACTCAGCGTCCACAAAACACGGCTAAAACCAAAAATACAGGCACACAACCTAAAAGGAGGTGTCAAGGACTGCCCTACTGTTACTCCGCTGACCATCAGATAAAGTAGGTGGTTAGTTAAAAGACCGAGTGCCAGTGAAAGGAAGCAGCTGGCTTTTCGGAACCAGCGCTTTCGGGATCTGTTTAACTGTCCTCCCACGGTCCTTGAGGCCTCATAACAAACCTACACGGGCTATGGTATCACAGATCGCCCTGCCCAGGCTGCCCAGGGGTCTGCTAGGCTTGTAGTGGTGAGTGGGTGCTTCCCTGCCTTCCACTGCTCCTAGGAAATTGCTGCAGTCAAGGGCTTTCTGGAATGAAAATGTTGCAGCTGAGCCTGAAAGCCACAGCAAGGTGTGACATTCTTATTAGTTTTTCTTAACTTACAAAAATGACACATGAACATGCTTTTTTAAAATTTTTCAAATTATAGAGGAATTTATACAGTAAAAAATGAAAGTCCTCTTGTCCCCAACCATCCCGCTGGGCAAACAACACAAAACCGCAAAGTCCTTTCTTCCAGAGCTAACTACTATTAATAGTTTGATGTCCATCAGCCTGGACATTATTTTCTACACATATTCAAACATATGTATGTAGGAAGTAGGCGGGATGTGGGGCAAATCATTTAATCCCTCTGTATGTCAGTTTTCTGAGCCTTAAAATGGGGGCAATGATATTACTCTCATAGGGTTATTGTGAGGGTTATATGAGTTAAGATATTTGGTATTCTCAGAATAGTGTCTGGCCTATAGTGGGCACCCAGTTTCAGCTGTTGTGATTCATTCCTTATTTCTCGTTCACAGAAGCTTAGCATTCTATTGTAGAGATGATAACGATTCTGAGAGGTTTCACTGACTCCTACCTGGATAGTTAAGAACATACACACGGCCGGGTGTGGTGGCTCATGCCTACAATCCCAGCTACTTGGGAGACTGAGGCAGGAGGATTGCTTGAACCTGGGAGGAGGAGGTTGCAGTGAGCTGAGATCACACCACTGCACTCCAGCCTGGACAACTGAGCAAGACTCTATTCTGTCTCAAAAAAAAAAAAAAAAAAAACATACTCACTATTAGCTCTCCTGAAATTAATGGGTTGGGGACCCTGGCCCAGAACTCAGAACCCTGCCTCTGGTCTGGTATTGTTTTCACCACACCACAGGGTCCCCCACAATTCCCCCTTAAAAGCTGAAACTGTCTGGATGGAGCAGCTGGTCCTACTCCTTGTCCCTCAGTGACGTCCAGCTCCGTTGTCTTATTTGCACCCTAGGCTGTCTCTGGTGGGTTTCTGGGGCAGGGGGCTCTAGGCCAGGTGAGCCCTCCTCTTGCTGCAGTCTCTGGACGTGCCCCTCCTGGTCCTCGAGGTTTGGCTTCCCCTTCCACACAGTGAGTCACTACATGTTGAGACTGCCGGCCTGAGGATTCCCGGCTGCTCTGGGTTTAGCTCAGGCTAATGGGCACGATGGAAACAGCTGGGAGCTGGGAGTGAGGTCTGGTTGCTTATGAGGCTACAGACATTTCCAGAGCTCCTTCTACATGCCAGGCACTGTGCCAGCCAGTTAGGGACACCTCCATAATGTAGGTGTGAGACTTGGTCATGGCTTCTGGAGGTCCCCGTCCATGTGAACCAACCGCCCAGAGCTCCTGGATCCAGCGGCTCTTCAGAGGGGCATCAGGGGAGCAGAGCAGAGCAGGCTGGTAAGAGGCAGCTCCTAAGTGCTGACACCTGGTTCCTCTCCTCCTCCCTGCCTGGCCTCTGGGCCTGCTGCCATCTCTCTTTCCCTGGCAGGTTTGTGGAATTGCTGAGAATGCTGGGTCAAGGCCAGGCTGAGGCCTTTTCTGCCACCCTGGGAACTCTTCACGTACCTTCAAGCACCTTTGCAGACTCAGGGCTCAGAGCTGGAAAAGTCTTGAGGGTCATTCATCCTACTCATTTAACAGGTCAAGAGAGAAAATTTGGTGAGACAAGGGCAGGGGTACAAGCACTTAATAAACATAATCAGAGTGCCATTCACCAGGGGAAGAGCATCAGGCTTCTTTATTCTGTCCCTATGACAAGCCTGAGGCTTGTTTTATTTTTCCGACTTAAAGGATGAGGAACCTGAAGCTTGAAGGAGTCAAGTGAGTTGCTCGAGGTCATCAGGAAGCAGAGTAGCCTAACGTGTACCCACCTCTTTCTTACTATAGGGAGCCCAAGACATCTACACAACCCAGTGCCTCTTCCAAATGCCTCTTCCAGTGCCTCTTCCAAATGCAGGAGAGCTGTCCCTCCAGTCAGCCACAGGCCCATGGCCAGACACAGACTGGATGACAGAAACTTTCCCAGCCAACCACCTTGGCAATGTCTGTTTTCCTTTCAGAAGCATCATTCCCTCTGGAACCCCATTCCGGAGGAAGGCAGCATGGCAGGAGCAAGGGCCTTCCTCAGGTCCTAGTTTTGTTGGGTGTTCAGCAAGGTGTGGGGATTTAGTGTGTGGTGCAGGGGAAGGCAAGTTGGGGTTGGCCCAGGAGAGCTCTGGCTAGAGCCTGTCTGTCCCTGTGCTATGCTGAAAGCCCAGCTGCTCCCCAGAACCAGCAGCCCCAGTCCCCAAAGGCCAGAGCTGAGTCACTTTCTTCAGTCTGCCCTGGATGACTAGTTCCTTGCCTCCCAGCTTTTTCCGCATTCACCTTCTCACAGATCATGTGTTGGACTCCTTCTGCTTACTGATAACAGTTTTCCCACAAGTTCCTGAGAATCGTTAAACCTTAATACTGTCAGCGCTGGCAGCCCTATCCCATCTCACATGATGAGTGGCAAAAGATATGATTCCCTTTGGTATTCCTGAAAGCAGATAGCGCAAATATGCAAGAGCACTCGAAAATCTACACAGTATTGTTAAGCTATATAAGCACAGCGTTACATACACATATGTGCCCACAGAATGAAACAGCAATGTGACAAATGCTTTCGAATCACTCAGAAGGCAAAGTTCCTTAAGGGTTCTACAAATTGCCAAGTTTCTTGGGGTCTGAGCATCTAAGATCTGCATATTAACACCTGCTATGGTTTGAGTTTGACCCCACCAAAACTCATGTTGAAATTTGATCCCCAACGTGGCAGTTTTGGGAGCAGATGGCTAATGGGAGGTGTTTGGGTCATAAGGACAGATTCCTCCCAAATGGCTTGGTGCCATTTTCGCGGTAGTGAGTTCTCACTCTAGCAAGACTGGATTCTCTCAGGAACGGATTAGATCCACAAGAGTGGGTTGTTACAAAGCCAGGATGTCCCTTGAGTTTGGCCTCTTCACATGTGTCTGCTTCCCCTTTGACTTTCTCTGCAATGTTATAGTGTAGCACAAAAGCCCTTACCAGAAGGCAGGGCCATGCCCTTAAACTTCCCGGCCTGCAAAACTGTGAGCTAAATAAACCCCTTTATTTGTAAATCACTCAGTCCCAAGTATTCTGTTATAGCAACACAAAATGGACTAAGCCAGTACCCAGTCCAAGTCATTTTATGCCACATGGATTTGCACCTACTTGGAGAGGTCAGAACCAATAAGGAACATTCTACACACACCACCCTTACTTCTTCCTGGTGATTTGTTAAAGTTTGGTGAATGGGCCGGGTGCGGTGGCTCTTGCCTGTAATTCTAGCACTTTGGGAGGCCGAGGCGAGTAGATTGCCTGAGCTCAAGAGACCAGCCAGGGCAACATAGTGAAACCCAGTATCTACTAAAATACAAAAAAATTAGCCAGGCGTGGTGGTGTGTGCCTGTAATCCTGGCTACTCAGGAGGCTGAGACAGGAGAATCTCTTGGATCTGGGATGTGGAGGTTGCAGTGAGCTGAGATCACGCCACTGCACTCCAGCCTGGGCGACAGAATGAGATCCTGTCTCCAAAAAAAAAAAAAAAAAAGGTTTGGTGAATGGCCTTTCTTTAGAGTTGCAGGGGCTCCTGCCCTAAACTTCTCAGTGAAACAGATCTCAATGGTCTTATGCTCCTCCCTCTCCCCCATTGTTTCTTTTGCTGTTTCATTGCTGACAGTGTTCAACAGCAATATGCCCCATCTTTATATATCGTAAGAAACACTAATTCTAGGTTATTACAAGCAGAAATATTTTTGTCCTGAATAACATTGTTACTGGGCCAAAAGATAGATCAGGAGTCCCAGACTTTAGTTTCCTGAAATTGCCAGGTCAGGCACAAGGGGAAGGGGCTCCTGGATATTGACTAACTTGGGTGGGCCTAGCCAGGAGAAAGATAGCAACATGTGCTCTGTACTTTCTGGGAAGATCCCTGAAGCCATCACGGAGGCTCCCCAACTTCCGAGTCGCCTATCTGTTGCTGTGGCAGTGGGAATGGATTACTTAAGGAGAGGGCACTTTGCTCTCTGTAGGTGGGCAAGTTTCCCGGGCTCTCTGTTTTGCCTCCCTCTGGCTTCTTCCTCCTGGGCCCTCTGCTGTGTGCCACAGGGGATCAGGGATTCTCATCTTCCTGAGGACCAGTGGGGAAGAGTGAACATGGCAGCCTCAAGGTTAGCTGAAGCTGCCATTTGCCCAGCCTCTTCCATCCCAACCATGTCAGTGAGCCCAGGTCTGGTTAACTATTGCAGAATGCCTGTAGTAGGGAACTCTGGAAGTGTATTGGGCTGAGGTGGGATTTTCCCTCCCCACAATGCCCTGAGCAATGGAAGTGGTGAGGGGTGAGCGAGTCAGGCTGCTGAATTCTGTTGGCATTCCCTCCTTGTGTAAAATGGGGTGTTGGGGTGGGGCAGCCTCTGCTTGGATTTGGTTGTAAGATAAACCTGGAGGAGAAAAAAAAAGTTTGGTGAACGGTACCCAGTGTCCCCTGGAATTGAGGTGGAGGGACGGGGTAGGGAAGGCTTCCAGTATAAGTTCATTGATGGCGGCTCACTGCTCCACAGTAGCTGGGCCACAGTTCCCTGTGAATTCTGTGCCAGTCCTTTACAGGAGCTGTTTGTTGTCATGTCCTGGCAGTAGTCCCAGAGCTAAAAGGGACCACCAATTTTACTAATAAGGAAACTGGGGCCTGGAAAATGGCAATCTGTCCAAGTTTATGGGTCTAGGCCCCTGCTTTCCCAAGGGTGGCCTGAAGCCAGAGAGCCAGTGGCTTCATGGCCTCATCCTCAGCAGCCCCTGTGAGCTACCCAAGACCCCAGAGTCCTCCCACATCACACAAGGCCTGGGGCACCCCCAGAGATTTTCTTAGACAGTCTGAATGTCAATACTGTGTTTTCTTGTCTAACCAGGTCACCTTAAAAATGTGTGTACCCTTAACCCCAGCTATTTTCATTCTAAAATATAACTTCAAGAAATAACATATTAATAACTTCAGGAAATAATGAGTCAGGAGAACAAAAATATGCAACAAGGGTTGTCATTGCAACTTTATTATTAGAGCAAAACTCTGTAAACTATCCAAACACTCAAAATACTGCAATTTGCTTTATAAATGATAGTCTATCCACACAATGGGATGTGGTGATTTAAAATAATGATGTGTATAATTATTGACATAGAAAGAAATTTAGTCATTTATTAAATGAAAACAAGTATGTTTGTAAAACGGTATCCAGAAGACAAAGGACCCAGTTTCTTCAACATAACAGTGGCATGTGAACCAAAATGTAGGGGGAACTATAATAAAGAGGCTTAAGAAAGAAGAAAAAATAAAAAATAAAACAGGCTTAAAATATCAACCACATGCAATATGTTTAGATCCTGATTCCAGAAAAGCAAGTATAAAAAAGTAAAGTTTTGGCTGGGCATGGTGGCTCATGCCTGTAATCTCAGTGCTTTGGGAAACTGAGGCAGGAAGATTGCTTGAGGCCAGGAATTCAAGAACACTCTGGGCCACATAGTGAGGCCTTTTTAAATTTTTTTCTCTACAAAAAGTAGCCAGGCATGGTGGTGCATGCCTATAATCCCAGCTACTCCAGAGGCTGAGACAGGAGGATCACTTGAACCCAGGAGTTTGATATTGCAGTGAGCTCTGATCAAGACCCTGTCTTGGTCAAAAAAAAGGTAATTTTTCTGTTTTTTTAGATGAGGGAAAATATGGCATGGATTGACTATTAGCTATTATGAAATTATTATTAGTTTTGTCAGGTATAGTAATGGGAATTATTTAATAATTGTGATTTTTTAAAAGTCCTCATCTGTTAAGAGTAAAATGAAAAAAGTAAAGTACACTCCCATTAATGTTTACAAATGCATGCACACGTTTGATATGTATAGATTCATGGAAAGGGGCTGCAGGAAGCCCAGGAATTCATTCCTACCACCACCACAACCAACTAAGTGCTCAATCAATATTGATTCACTCAGTGAATCAGTCCCGGAACCAAGAATGTGAATTCCCCACAAGCTCCCCGACCTTGGGAGGACCAGCAGCCTCTGTGTGCTCTGTCACCAGTGCCTGGCACTTGATTCACGCTTTCAGTCAACACTGAGGACACCACCCAGTCAGCACCTCTAGAGTGCTAGAGAGTGAAGAGGTGTCAGGGCGGAGAGCTGGGAAGGACCCTACAGGCAACCTGGAAGGTAGAAAGCAGCGGACTGCTCCATGGAATCTAAAGGAGAAAGGGGACATGTTGGCTCCACTAATTCCCTCTTGCAGCCCACCTCTGGCTACAGCAGATGCTGGTGTGAAGTCACCTCTGCACTCAGTCACTGGTTCTCTGACATCTTCCCCACCCAGTCTCCCTTGTGTAGCACAGTCCTGCCTCCTCCCTCCTGGCTCCTATTGTGTGTGCAGGAGGCCTGTTGGGGAGTTGGTGGAGCCAGAGGTTAGGAGAAGGGGAGGCAAATAGGATTTATGGGATATTTGCCTTTCCTAAGAACTGTCCTCTGCTCATGATGTCAACCTAGGTTCAAGGTACTGAGGCCAACTAACAGGGAAGCAATGCTTGAAAACTAGGAGCCAGCTGGGACAGAGGCTGGGTCTGGCTACAGGCGGTGGGGCCTGGTCAGGGTCATCTCTGGGTGGCCTCCTCCACACACTGACTTCTACCTAGGGCTCAGGGAGGAGGAGGATGAAGGGGCAGCAGTGAAATGGCTTCACGAGGCATGCATAGGCTGCAGGAAGTGGCTCCAAGACACCAGCAGACATTCTCTGGTAGAGCCTCTGCCCCTCACTCCCAGCTTCCTTCTCTCTTAAAGCCCTGGCTGAAGCAGACACTGAGCTCCTTCTCTGGGCACCTGAAAGGGGGCACAGGGCGTGAGGATGATGTTTCCACCAAGACTGCTTAGTGCATCTTCTCATCAGTAGGAGCTGCTTGGTGGGGGTGGTGGCATGGGGAGCATCATTTGTCCTCTAGGACTGGACACCTCAGGCCTATGAGAGGCAGCATGTTGTAAAGGATTTGATGTCAGGATTCCTGGGTTCTGTCTAATCCTGGGCCATTGACTAACCCACTGTGTGATTTGCCAAGTCACTTCCCCAATCTGAGCCTCAATTTCCTCCCTTGTTAACTGAAGGGTTGTGTTAAGACAATCTTAAGGTCTCCTCTGGCATTTATATCTTCTTTATCTACAAAATGATTGTGTATGTGACTTGTCATGAGGATTAGAGATAATTCATGTCAATGAAATTATATTTGGTACAGAAAATATGTAACCTTCAAAAATCCTGGGACCCTTTCCTCTGGGAAATGGGTAATCTAAGTCCATTCCCTGCTAAACAGGACCATAAACAGCAGCATGAGTCAGATACCACCACCAATATTTATTACCCAAAGCAATCTGAAAGAATCGGGCACAAGGTCATGGCTTTCCCAGGTTACAAGAAAATCAGAACATTTTCAAACTCACCCTCCCCCCACAGCCGAAGTAAGGGATTAAAGGCTATAGCTCAAGCTATGTCATGGCTACTATATCCTCATTCTTGATGAATAATCTCAAAGTCACAAGTGGGCATGATGCGACTTGGATCCAAATCTTACCAGAAAAAAAACCCACCATTAAAATAAGACAAGTTCATAGAAATCATTCCAACAGAAAGATACCAAGAGCCTTTACTGGCAATGAGAAGAGGAAAGATTTTCTGTTTATAATAACCAGAAAGAAATGGAATTGTCTAATAATCATCAGTTGAGTATGAGCCTAGTACGGGATGCTAATCTTCTGGGGTGGGGAAGTCTTGTGAGCTAACTAAACCCTCCTGGTCTCTGGTGAGGTCCACAGGTAGCAGTTTCCTGGTTGCCTGGTGACAAGGGACCATGCTTAGGGGTGGGCTGGGGCATGTTGGGGAGGGGGTCCTTCACTTGGCAAGTGAAATAACACACTTCTCAGAAGCTGTAGAAGAGGCAATCTTCAAACAGTGCTGAGTAGTCCTCTTACTTTTTCCACATTAGGGGAATGCAAGCTGATTTAACCTCACATGAAATTTCCTTTTTCATTTGTTTGTTTTTTTCATTTGATTGGTTTTAAAATTATCCTTGATCCAGGAAAGTGATGCCTTTTCTTATTCTCCTTTTATCATCAAAACAAACAGCCAATATGTCTCTAGAAACATTGCGTTCTAAACTGGAAGTGCTGACAAGCCTTCATCCCAGACGCTGAGTGGCAGATTTTCATGAAAATCAGCTTCTGGGCCAGTTAAGTCTTCATGAAGTTATCTTTTCATAACTCAGCCCTCATTCCCCTCCGGGTCAGTAGCAGTGGAACCAGGAAACCCAAGGGCCAGATTTCCTTCCTCAATGAAGGCACTCCAGGAAGAAGGGGAGTTCCTGGCACCTGCCTGCCAAACTCTGCTCTACTTGCTGAACTTTGCTCAGCATGAACAGGGCATTCTGGCTACAAGTTCCCCCAAACTATCGCAGATTGTATCTTTAAGGCACACCAATTCCTCTGCTTAAGGACTTCTGTTCACAATGAATTGTATTAGTTATTCTTAACATTCAAAAGAGAAAGTTCTGCATCAGAGCCCACTCGTGTCCATCCGTTGTGCCCTGAGATCCCGAGACTGTGGGGATGAGGGCAGAGCCCATTAACATCAGAGATTCTGGTCACTGGGGTCACACTTGAGCATGATTTTCAACCCCAATCCCTTTTTAAATGTTTCAAAGGCCTCCAGAGCTTTCTCCAGAGGAAACCTATGGGTGACGAGGGGTTTTACATTCACAGACTTGGACGCAAGCATCGAAATCGCCACTGGCCACCTGTAAAAGAGCACGAGCATTATATTCAACCTTCAAGAGGAAAGAGCCAGGTGCCCCAAACTACCAAGCACTAGATCAGCTTGGCCGTATTTATTGATAGCACTGTGGTTCTGCAAAGCCAATTTTACAGGCCAACAACCCAGGAAAGGACCTTATGGCTTATGATTCAGGGGTACAGAGCCTATTTCCAATTGCCCCCACCCCTCACCCACCCGCTCACTCTGCCACGTCTGCCATGGAGCCTAGAATTCCTGTGGCATGAAGGTACGAGGCACATGGTGGAGGCCACTGGGAAAAGGCAGAGAAGCCGTGGGGAGGCAGCCCGGGACAATCCAGTCACACCCACTAACAGCTCAGCTTACTGGAAAACTGGCGCCCTGATGAGGGCAGGGAGTTACAGCCTCTAAAGCCAGGAGTAAGGGACACTGCTGGGGAGAGGGGTCCCAGCCAGAGGGCCCCAGCAGGGGAGAGGGTGGAGCTGCAGAACATGGGTGGGGCAAACTAAGACCCTTTCGCTCCCCAGGGTGGGCCCTAGGGCTAAGGAACGGAAGCCACAGGACTTGATTTCTTCCTTTTGTCCTCCTTTCTCTCCTTCTTCCCTTTAAATGGAGAAAATGGAGACCTGGTAACTTAAGAAAATTGGGGGATAAAGGGGCCTAGGGCGGATAAGCAGCAGACACTCAGTAAGACTATGCTTCAAAATCCCCTCCTTCCCTCCCTCCATCCATCCTTCTGTTCCTCCCATTCTTTTTTTTTTTTTGAGACAGAGTCTGGCTCTGTTGCCCAGGCTGGAGTGCAGTGGTGCGATCTCCGCTCACTGCAATCTCTGCCTCCTGGGTTCACACCACTCTCCTGCCTCAGCATCCCAAGTAGCTGGGACTACAGACACCCACCACCATGCCTGGCTAATTTTTTGTATTTTTAGTAGAGACAGGGGTCACCGTGTTAGCCAGGATGCTCTCGATCTCCTGACCTCGTGATCCGCCTGCCTCGGCCTCCCAAAGTGCTGGGATTACAGGCATGAGCCGCCACGCCCGGCCTTCCCATTCTTTAATTGGGAGTGAGTGTTCTCTCTTTGGATCCCTGTTATATCACACAGCTATCAGTGTGGCCAGGGAGTGCCCCCCATGAACAAACAGGCAGAGACTCATGGGCCAGAGGCTGAGTGGGGCCTGCCATGGTCTTGCTGGAGGCTGGGCATCCCGGCTCACCCACAGCATACTCACGTGTTGCAGTATCGAAACACGCCCTTGATATCCACCTCCCGGATGGCTGCATGCAGTAGGGGTACGGTGGTCATCTCAGAGCCCAGCCCCACAAGCACGAGGTTCCCACCAGAGCGAGTGGCCTGTAAAGGAGGTAAAAACAAGAAAGCTCAGAAGATAAGAAATACTGACTTCCCACTTACAATAACATATTGTCATCACACAAGTATCTTCTGGTTGCATCAGCTGAGCATCCAAAAATTCCTGAGAATGTGATTTGTGTACACTGCTGAACTGCTCAACCTGCCAACCAAACTTAACTGAGCGGGAGAGTAAACACGGTTTTCTTTAAAGTGTATTCTGAAAACATACACTTAACCCATGGAGAACCAGGCACAGTGGGAACATCTTCCAAAGCTTTACAGATTCGGGACCCAATATTGGCTTCAGCCACCTCCACAGTCTAAGCACCTGTTCCTCCCCCAGAGCGCCCCTCCACAGGCAGCACTTTCATCAGAGCTGGAAGGAACCACTGGCCCTCTAAGCTCACCGGTGGTGAGAAAACTATAAACATGAGACAGATGGGCCACTTGTATTCTGTGGCTTAAAAAAGGCTTCATACATGCGTGCAGGCTGGCAGTTAGAAATCTTTTTGTTCCAGAGATGTTTACCTCAACAGTATGAGCCATAATGGGTTTTGTCTTCCTTGAATGTTTATCTGCCTTATCAGTTCCCCACTTGGAGTGGGTCACAGGCAGCAGTGAAATTTCTCCTGAAAATTTCCCCAGAACTCCCTGTGAGTGCTGTGCTTGTTCCAGAGCTTTCTGGGGATCACTGTGCTCAGTGCGGTGAGAGACAGAACAATGGATAATTCAATCATGCTGGTTGTTCATTATAGTCAGCAGCAAGCATTTATTGGGACCATTCTAGGTGCTAAACAGTGGAACTAGAGAAAGGCACATGTCACAGCCTCCATTTCTGAGATGAAGGATACACCACGATCACAGCCTCCACTTCTGAGATGAAGGATACACCATGGAGAGAGGCCTGTGGTGCCGTGAGCAAGAGGTGAACTCAGGGTTTGAGTGGTGTGGGAGTGACTCCCAGCGCTGCTGCTTCAGAGCTGTGGCACCCTGGACGTGCCCTCTCAGCCCATTTTCTAGGGAAACTACTTCCTTATCAGCACTTCCTCTCTACCTGGTGGTGAGGAGGAACACCAACTGGCCATTCCAAGCTGCCAAGATGCCAGCAGTTTGCTGACCCAAGGTCAAGGAATGCTGGAACCACCTGGACACTATCCTGTAGGTATGGCATCTGCATCAAGGATATGACATCAATTCTACCCCAAGGCATCTGCCATGTCTCATCACAAACACTATCCAGTCATAACCTGGCAGGACGGCGATGCTCAGATTTGTCCATATTTGGTCCAGCCACCTAGCCTGCTCATTGGCGGGGTGGCCTATAGCATTCTACAGCACCCGTCATGCGTGACGTCAGGAGAGACACTGCTTCAGGCCTGGTGAGGCCCATGGGTCACATTCACCTCCATGCCTGCCTCAGGTAGCCTGGCAACCAGGCCCCCACCATCAACAGTGGAAATGCCAACTGTTCCAAATGCTCTAAGGGCAGGGCACAAGAGGAAGGAGAGCCATGTCCTTTAAGTCCCCCAGCTTATACTGCCTCTCTGCGGGGTGGAGGTCACTTACCTGCTGACAACTTGAAGACAGCAGATGCAACCTACTCATGTCTTAGCCCTCAAAGTGCCCAGCACAAAGCCTGGCACATGGTAGGTGCCCAAGACATACCATGGGTAGATCAATCACACACAGATCCATTGTTCCTCTCTGAGCTTCGGCTTCTTTTTGCCCCTTCCCACATGGCGACCACTGCCTATGACAGTGAAGCAGAGGGCTGGCGGACTCCAGCTGAAACTCACGACACTGCCAAGGTGGCACCCGCTCCTCCCTCTCCCCCACTGCTTCCTCAGCTCCCAAGGCCGCTGGGCAACTTAGTAGGAGGAGGTCTAGGCAGCTCTGCTACTCAGCTTGGTGGGTCAGCCTTCCCTAGAATGTCTCATGTGATGCAAAGTGCCCTCCTGCTGTGAGCCTCAGAAGGAAGGAGGAAGCCCACGCTACCTGGGGAGGCTGTCTGGGAGGCAGGGACAGGAGACCCCTGTGGTGGCGGCTGCCTGCTACCCTCTCCAGCCCTGGCCCTGTCCCCCCACCCTAGCATGGTTGTTCGTGCCCTCCTTCCCTTCCTCTCCTAAGCAGCGGGGCAACTCAGGCACTGGGGCCTGGCAGGGCTGGGCCTGGGCCTGACTTGGCTTGCCTCAAACAAACCACAAATCCCTCAGCATAAAACGGTAACTGGTTTTCAGGGCTGTTGTGCAGATTAGGCCTCATGTTTATAAAGTACAGCAGAGAACCTGGCATACAGTAGGGCTTGGAACCTGGAAGTTGTTATTTTCCCTTCGTTTCCTCATACTTTGATCTGTCAGTGCCACTCCCTCCCACCACCTCCAACTTCCTGCCAACTTCCCATAAGTGGCTGGTGGGTCGCTGAGGGGCGAATCAGGCATTGGCAGCTTATCTGTTCCTAGGTCTGGGAGACAAAACAAGCAGTAGTCAGCTGTGACCCTGGAAAATCACCTCACCTTCATGACTAACTGAATGACTGTCACTTTATATCTATGACTAAAAGACTGCAGTTTTCCTCAATAAAATAAGACAGAGATTTCCCACATACAATTAAGGCATGGTTCCCTGTTTTTCTTCTTGATCTTTTTACCAAAACTACTGCACTTTTAACATCACAGATATGATCATGAAGCCAACTGCGTCCCCAAAGTGTGTGTCCTTAACATTTTTCAAGGCCCATGTATAGCTGTTATCTTGTGTGAACCTCAGATGGCCCAATGAGGATGTAAGGCAAGTTCAAGTACAGGCTCCACACTAGAGATAAGAAAACAGAGATAGCAAAAGATGTATAAGTTTGGCTTGGGGCTCACGCAGCAAGCTGGTAAAGAAGTTTGACTCCCTACTTCTGCCTCCTTCACTCCCCTACGCTGATTCCCCAAAGCTGCCCTCAGCCCACTCACGTAGATGCCTGCCTGGATGGAGGCCTCTGCCCCGTGCACTCGATGGTGACTTCCGGCTTGCACCCCAGCAGACCTTCTACTTTCCTGGCGATTTCCTGAGGGCTCTCCTTGGAGATCTGGAGGACTAAATCAGCCCCAATCTCCTTGGCTTTGGACAATCGGGTAGCAGACAGATCTGAAGGTAAAAAAAAAAAAAAAAATTCTTTCAAACAAGAGAAATCTGATGACTCATTAGGAAGAAAAGAAAATGGAGGTGTAAGATCTGATGGCAACAAAGCTCTCGTGCAATGGGTGGTGGTGTTGAGCCCAACACACATACTCTTCACACCAAGCTTGTCCAACCTGCAGCCCACATGCAGCCCAGGATGGCTTTGAATATGGCCCAACACAAATCTGTAAACTCTCTAAAAATATTATGAAATTAAAAAACAGTTTTGTAAAGTTCATCAGCTATCATTAGTGTTAGGGTATTTTATGTGGGGCCCAAGACCATTCTTCCAATGTGGCCCAAGGAAGCCAAAAGATTGGACACCCCTGCTCTGCTCTACACCCTCATATACCCCCATATCCACCATACAGCTACACACACACACACACACACACACACTCTCACACAAACTCTCTCTCTCTCATAGCTTCTCCTAACACAAAACACACACTCACACTCCTCTATATCTCCACAATCCATATGACACTACACACTCACCCCCTCCACACTGTCACAGATAACCTCTCCTCACACATGCACATACAGTAGGACCAGCTGTTTCCCAGTCAAGGAGATTGATAAAGAACAAAGTCTTACCAGTCACCACTACTTGAGCTGCTCCCATTGCCTTGGCCACGAGCAAAGTGACTACCCCGATTGCCCCTAAACAAAGCAAAAGATATAAGATTGTGAAATATTAAACATCTGCTCTCCCACTTGTCCAGGCCACGGACAGGAACCACATCTTTTGTGTGTCTCTAGCATCTATCCCAGTGCCTGGCATGATAAGACCTTAGCGGCTGTTTGTTGAATGCAGAAGAGAATGAATCCATGAAGAATTATTCTCTACATAAAATACGCTCCTAGTGCTGGGTTCTATTTAATCCTCTCAAACCTCAGAGCTAAAATTTTCCCACTTACTCCTGGGCACTAGTGGAGATAATCTCAAAGAACCACGGGATTCAAGGAAACACAAACTTACTCAGAAAATAAGAAATCTCAGAAGGTCTGGACTTGTTTTCCTGTTCTTTCTTTGCCCCTACCTTCGTGAGAACCCATCACACCTCCCCCAGAGAGAGACATATTCCTTTTAGGTGCCCTCTGAGGACCACCTGGAGAGGGTTCTTAAGTGAGCTGGCTCCCTGGGTTGGCCCAGGTGCCCAGATAGCCCCAGGATACTCAGGTATCCAAGGATTTGCCTGAGACACCTGCTTCCCCATAGTATCTGCATGCTATGTGACACTATGGTTTTAATATAAAAATCAGACCCACAGAATGAAAGCAATGCAGAATATCTTTGGGGGTTTACTTTTTGTACACATCCCCTAAGAACAATTTTGTGAGCTCCCTCAGAAAACAAAACACTGAAAAATAATACCTGAAATGTCCAACAAAGCATGATTAAAAAACTACATGGCTACTAAAAATTACGCCATAACTCTTTATCTATTGACATGGAAAAATGTTCACAGTATATTGATTTTTTTTTTTTTTTGGAGACAGAGTCTTGCTCTGTCACCCAGGCTGGAGTGTAGTGTTGCAATCTCAGCTCACTGCAACCTTCGCCTCCCGGGTTCAAGCAATTCTCTCACCTCAGCCTCCTAAGTAGTGGAGATTACAGGCGCCCGCCACCAAGCCTGGCTACTTTTTGTTTTTTTAGTAGAGACAGGGTTTCACCATGTTGGCCAGGCTGATCTCAAATTCCTGACCTCAGGTGATCTGCCTGCCTCAGCCTCCCAAAGTGCTAGGATTACAGGCATGAGCCACTGTGCCCAGCCTGATTTTTAAAAAAGAGTAGGTAAAGGAAGCGTATTTAGCATGGTCTCAGAAAAAACCAACTAACTAAAAGATTCTATACCCAAATATTAATAGTGGTTCTCTTGGGCTAATCGGTAATGGGATTACAGGTGAATTTCTGTGTGTGTGTGTGTTGGGGGCAAGGCATGCATGTGTGTGGTATGTGTGACTTATTTTCCTTTTCTATGGTAAAAAGGTACTGGATCCATGCAGATTTTTATAAGAATCTGTCACCTGAGTCCCGCAGTCTGCTAGCCCATTGTGGCAAGTCTATTCTACATCCATCACCCCTCTTAGGAAGCCGTGTGATCACTTATTTGGCCAGCCAAAGAAAATCACAAACAAGTATGAGGAACACCAGATCACACCCACAAGGAGTGTGAGCGTACTGTCTGGGTCACCAGAATGATTCGTTCTGAGGCTGCTAGGGCTTGTTCCAGATGGCTGGAAAGATGGCTGGAAACAGGGGATGAGAGAAGGCAGCTAGCTACAACCCTACTGCAGGCAGACTGCTGGCTCACAGTGGTGTGGGAGCAGACCACTGCTCACTCCTCCCACTGGCTGGGAGCAGGGTCTACCTTATTCATAGATGGGACTAGGCCATCACTTTGCTGGTATAATTTGAAAGTTCCAAGAGTTGCCCTTCCCTTTACTATCAAAAATATTTCTCTAAGGTGGAGGTTGCAGTGAGCCAAGATCACGCAAATAAAAAAATTTTCCTAGTTTCCCATCAAGGGTTCAAAAATAATCGCCAGATTAATTCCCTTTTTTTTTTTTTTTTTTTTTTTTTTTGAGACAGAATCTCGCTCTGTCGCCCAGGCTGGAGCGCAGTGGCATGATCTTTGCTCACTGCAACCTCTGCTTCCCAGGTTCAAGTGATTCTCCTGTCTCGTCCTTCCAAGTAAGTGGGACTACAGGGGGCGCACCACCACACCCAGCTAATTTTTGTATTTTTAGTAAAGATGAGGTTTCATCATGTTGGCCAGGCTGGTCTTGAACTTTCGGCCTCAAGTGATCCACCCGCCTCAGCCTTCCCGAGTGCTGGGATTATAGGCATGAGACACTGTGCCTGGCACAGATTCATTCTTTTTGTTTGTTTGTTTTGAGATGGGGTCTTGTTTTTTTTGAGACAGGGTCTTGTTCTGCCACCCAGACTGGAGTTCAGTGGCACAATCATGGCTCACTGCACTCTTGACCTCCCAGGCTCAAGTGACCCTCCCACCTCAGCCTTCTGAGTAGCTGGGACTATAGGCACACACTACCACACCGGCTAATTTTTGTATTTTTTTGTAGAGATGGGGTTTCACCATGTTACCCAGACTGGTCTCGAACTCCTGGGTTCAAGTGATCCACCGGCTTTGGTCTCCCAAAGTGCTGGGATTATAGGCAGGAGCCACCGTGCCCAGCCAATTCATTCTTTAAATGAATGAAAGGGCTATGTTGCCTAGGACATATAACCCTAGTTAATATCATGTCCACAGATACTCATTTGTTTAGCAAAGTGCTAGTCACTGAGGGAATGGGACACTGCAATCCTCCTTTACCCAGAAGGATTCTAGAACAAATCTCAAGCCTTGGAGGGGGAATGAGATGGGCAGAGGGTTCCCTGAATTCCCAGTCAATGAACCCGCAACAGGGTGGCTTCTGTTTCTTACCAGCTCCACACACAAGGACCTTGTGTCCCAGGGTAACTCCGCCTCTCCTGCAGGCATGGATCCCCACAGAAAGTGGATCAATCAGGGCGCCTTCCTCAAAGGTGACATTGTCAGGAAGCCTGAGGAGTCAATTGACACACAGAGATCCTCTGAGTTAACTACAATGCTAACAATAGTATTATATATGCCCAACGTCACTGTAATAACAACAATAGCTAACATTTATTGAGCATTTATTTATGTGCAGAGCAATGTGCTAAGCAATTTATATACATTAACTCACGTAAATCCCTGGAATAGTTCTGTGGTAGGTACTATCATTCCCATTTTACAGATGAGGAAACAGGCGTGGTGGGTTAAATGACTTGCCCCAGCGGTCCAAAGCTAGTGAGGAGCCAAAAGCGTTCAAATTAGAAGCCAGATATGTTCTCATCACAGAACCCATGCCACAATGTCCCCATCTGAAGAAGGCAACATGGTTTTCTTTGGGTAAATCAATTCAGTGAAATGAACACATTATGTTTTCTTTAATGTGCTATCCAAGGTACGGTATGGTGGTTATCATTAATAAATGAAAAGTTTGTTTATTTATTTACTTATTTATTTATTTATTTATTTTTGAGATGGAGTCTCACTCTATCTCCCAGGCTGGAGTGTAGTGGCGCAATCTCGGCTCACTGCAAGCTCTGTCTCCCAGGTTCACGCCATTCTCTCACCTCAGCCTCCTGAGCAGCTGGGACTACAGGCGCCCGCCACCATGCCGGGCTAATTTTTTATATTTTCTAGTAGAGACGGGGTTTCACCGTGTTATCCAGGATGGTCTCGACCTCCTGACCTTGTGATCCGCCCGCCTCGGCCTCCCAAAGTGCTGGGATTATAGGTGTGAGCCACCATGCCCGGCCGAAAAGTTTATTTAACAAGGAGTTAATATGGCCACCTTCCAGCATCTCATCTGCTTCCCAAACTTACAGCCTTTTTAGTTTCACTTTAGCAAACAATCCTGACTATCACCAGTTTTGCAGAACAGTGATTTAGCAATGGGCATCACTCTGATAGTCGCCTCCCATATTATACATTCCAGAAGAACCACATCTGAGGACAGCAGCTGCCCCGCTGACCCAGGACCAGTTAAGATGAAAGGACCTGTTCCACATAGCAGATTAAATGCTGTGTCACCTTCACTCTGGGTTCTAGGTTTTCACTTCCACTGGCATCTTAACCCTATCAATAATACAGCTGATGACGACAGCAAATATCTGCATAAAGCTTTACAGATTAGGAAGCATGCTCATCCGTTATCTCATTTAATCCTCATGAAAACCATGTTAGGCAGGTAGGGCAGGCTTTTTTTAAAAAACATTTATTTTACAGAAGAGTAAACGGAAACTCACTGACATGACATTAAGAGAATTGCCAAGGTTATGAAGCTAGGGAATGAAGGCCAGACTTAACAAAGGTGTCCTGATTCCACATCCTCTGCCTGTCCCATATCAGCTCCATCCTGGTATGAGCAGCTGTGTAGCTAATATTAATATCTAATTTCTGCTAGTTCCTCACTGCCCAGGATTTACCCAGCACCCCAAATCTCCACACACAGGAACAGGAAAACCCTCAAGTTCCAAAAAGAAATAAATGTGACAGCCAAACCATGTGCTCATCCCCATGATCCTTTCAACACTGTCTCCAATCTTCAACAGAATAACTCGGAGTCCTCCTGTCACTGTCCCTGATCCTTGACAGAACTACTCACCAGGCCAATGGAGGCCCAGCTGCCACCCACCACCCCCTTATCCCTTCCCCTCGGCTTCTTTCCCATCACTTCCCCTACTCCAATCCACTCTCCTGCTCTGACTGCGGTCACACTCCTTCTACTCCCCCTAGAAGTATCCCTTCTATATAATAGGAAAAAGGTGAAAATGAAATTGTGAAGATGCCTAAACTCTCTTAGGGACTCCACAGGTTCCTAGACATGCCTGCCCTTCCACATCTGGGCCTCCTGAGGAACTCATAAGGGCTCTATGCAGAGGGTGGCTTGCGTGGAAACTACATCAAGGAGAGATGGGATTGGGGAAGGTGATGAGGGAAGATTGTTATCAGGAAGAATACTCTACTGATTAAGCAGATGCTGCCTCATCCGCCTGCACCCAACACAGCCAACTGTGTTGGAAAGCCACCTGGTGTGGAGGCAGAAGCATGCACAAGGAGTCCTGGAGGCCAGCCCCGCTGCCACTGACCTTGGGAAAACCACTGACTCCACCCTCCCCAATCTTGTCCAGTGGGGGTTGATGGAGAACGAGGATGAGAAGACTCCAAGTTTCTTCCCAGCCCCAACCTTTCATGCTTTATAAACACCAGAGAGTGATGAGGCAACTTGGTAGTTTTTACAATGGGGTTCAGGGAACAGTCCAAATTGGGTAACGGATGATCAAGAAGCCAAGGAGGAAGCAGGAAAATAGAAAGAAAATAGATACAAAAATAAAGAGGCTGTGGTAGTATGGGAATCCTAAAAAGACATCAGAGAGGAGGGCTTGGGTCTAGGGAAGAACTGGGGACACAGGCAGAAAGCCCCCTGGGAGGAGAAGAAAGGCAGGGCTGTAGGACTCCCCAGAGACCTTCCTCAGCACCCCCACTGCCACTGCCACTGCCAGCCAGAGCCCCATCATTCCCTATAAACCACCAGCACAAGGCTCTCTTTCAGGCCTACTCCTGCACCTCCATGCCCAGACCACTAGGCCATGACTATGGCATAGCTTGGTACCATTTACTGAGCACCTACTATGTGCCAGACCTCATGCTGGAGACTTGATATGCTTTTCTCATTGGATCTCATCAGTAATTCTGTGAGGGAGGTACCATTACTATTTCTATTTTACAGGCGAGGATATTGAGGTTACAAAATTTAAGTGACTTGCCCAAGGTCACACAGTTGTAATTGGCAGAGACCAGTGGGCTTCACCACTATGCTCTTCTGCCTTCCATGAAACTTTCGTTTGGTGTCTTGACTTGGAAAGGGCCCGAGAAAGATGGGCCCATTCAGGAACCACTTGCTGAAAGGTGTACTCTGCACATGTAACCTGCTTACTTCTAGAGCAGGTTCAGGTGTTGACTTAAACCCATCACAAGGTCTCTGGCCTGTGACTCCTCTCAAGGCTCCCAGTGGGCCCTAGAAAAACTCAGATCTGTCAGACTGCTCCTGTGACTGGCACCTGGCCTCCATCGGACAAGCCCCATCCTGGCTGAAAACCACCACTGGGGCCAGGCTGCGGTGGGGGAAGAATGCATCTGGGTTGGGTCAGGGGGAAAGCGGCACTTCGGCACCCTAGAGCTCCACGGCTGGGGCCATGGGGGGCCACGCAGAAAGGGAGGCACTTTGCTTCCTCCAGACTCAACTTCACAATTTCAGGGGTGAGAATCGGAGTAGGGTAGGGGAGTGGGCACAGGGCAGGAGCTTGAGACTCACAGAGACCCCAGTTTGACTCTTGGTTGTGCTCTGTGCCCAAGTCAATGAGCTTCCTTCTGCCTTGGTTAACCCAATAACGGTGCCCACCTCACCATTATTCTTGTGGAGATTAAATAAATTAAGGCATTTAAACACTTATTAGCACAAGGGCAGGCACATAGTAATAATAATTATGACTCTCCATGCATCACCTTATTTAATATTTTGGCGATTAAATGAAACTGAAGCAGAGAAAAGTGAAATCATTTCTCCAAATTCACTTGCCAGGAGGGAGTAGATCCAGGATCCCAGAACTCAAGCCCTGGCAGCACACCACACCTCAGGAAATGTCAGCCGTTGCTGTCATGGTGTGTTGTTGCTATTGTCGAGGTCATTGTTGTTACAGGTTTCCTTTCTGGTGGTTGCAGTGGAAACTAATAACAGAGGATGAACCACAGGAATTCCCTCCAGGATGTCTGCAGAGGGTGAGTGATTTCAGCAATAATTTTCTATTGTTGCTCTAAGTAAGGGAAACTGGAACTGAAAGACTAAAACCAACCACTGTGAGTCAGTCTTATTCCTAGGGAGGCTACCCTCTCTCAATGCCACCAAGAAGAGTAGCCTGCCCAGGCGATGCCTCATGTTTGGAATTAGGAGCTGAAAGAATAAAGAAATAACCACAGGAAACAGCACCAAGTTAATGAAGGGAAAGAGGTCCCAGGTGACCCAGTGGGACTGTGGACACTAACTTGTAACAAAAGGCTGCATTGTGCTTATAGAACCGGCAGAGGTTCCCATCATCGGGGGGTGTGGCACAGAAGAAGATGGAAGGTGACAGATTGTATCGGCCCATCTTGCAGAATTCATCATTTTCTCGGGGAGCACCAGATTCGATGGCAACACGATCACCTGGAGAGGAAAACAAAGATGGCACCATGTCCGAAGGTGGGAGCAGAGTCTGCCTCCTCTTTGGTCCGGTTCTTTGTTTTCCAACCTTTGAAAACAGCAGAAGCAGAGATGTTATGAAGGCTTGCATGCTCATGGGCAGATGCCAGATGAGAGAATCTAGCTTAACGAGCCACCCTCCTCCCTGGGGACCCAGGGTGTCTTAGGCAAGTGAGGAAACTTGGGATGAAGCACAGAGTCACTCTGGGGGAAAAGGACCAGCCCCCTCCTCCACAGCCCAGTGTGGCCTGCCCTTTTTCCAGCTCCTGCAACAAGCCAAGCCACCCCTCTATCTCCACAGCCACTTCCCAGCTAAGGCAAGCCAAGTATATTCCCATCTCACACTGCTGGAAAAGGGGTAGCTAATACATGGAGTTTGCAGGCATTTTTTCTTCATCTGTTTGGAAGATAGAAAGCAAAGCCTTTACAAAGACAACAGCTATAATTACAGCATGTTTTATGTCCAGTTTGGTCGTTTTTAGACAATAATTAGGAGTCAACTGATTCCTGGTAGTAGAACTGCAAAGGCCAATGACCTGCAGAGGCCTCATACAGTGGAGAGTAATACTTGAGGCTTCTGAACAGCCAGCTCTATTATATTTCTACTCTATGCCTCACAACGACTGCTTGGAAACCCAGCCTGAGAACTGCTCTCTAATTGTTTTCTTTTTCTGTCTTTTTATTATGAAGAATTTCAAACACACAGCAAAATTCAAAGAATTGTATAGTCAACACCTGGATACCCTCCTCCTACATTCTTCAAGGAACATCTAGCTATGTTCACTTTATCACATATCTATCCATCTACCCCTCCATCTCATCTCTGTCTCCTTCCATCAGTCGATCTTCTTTTCCGATGCACTTCAAAGCAGGCTGCAGACATCAGTATACTTCACCCTTAAATGCTTCAGCCTGCATATCATTAACTAGAGTTCAGTATTTGTTTATGGTTCTTTTTTAAAGGTATCACCTAGGAATGCAAACCCCTTTTATGATACAGAACACTACCACTACCTCAGAAATCTTATTCCTCTGTATCTGTTCCCAGTCAATCCCCAGCCCCATCCCCAGAGGACACCAATGTTTTTATTTTTATTTTTTGTACCACAGATTAGTATTGCCTGTTCTAGCACGTCACAAAAATGGGATCATACAGTAGATACTCTTTTGTATCTTTCTTCTTTCAGTTAGCATAATGCTTTTCAGATTGATCTCTGTTGTTGTGGTATTAACTGTCTGGCCAGGTGTGGTGGCTCATGCCTATAATCTCATAATCCCAGCATTTTGGGAGGTCAAGGCAGGAGGATTGCTTGAGCCCAGGAGTTCGAGACGAACCTGGGCAACATAGAAAGACCTCATCTTTACAAAAAAAATTTTTTTTTAATTAGCTGAGCATGGTGGTGTGTACCTGTGGTCTCAGCTACTTGGGAGGCTGAGGTGGGAGAATCAATTGAGCCCAGGAGTTCGAGACGAACCTGGGCAACATAGAAAGACCTCATCTTTACAAAAAAAATTTTTTTTTAATTAGCTGAGCATGGTGGTGTGTACCTGTGGTCTCAGCTACTTGGGAGGCTGAGGTGGGAGAATCACTTGAGCCCAGGAGGTTGAGGCTGCAGAGAGACATGATCACACCACTATATTCCCACCTGGGTGACAGAGCAAGACTGTCTCAAAAACAAATGACAGTTTGTTCCTTTTCATGGCTGAATAGTGTTCCCATAGTTGCTCAGGCAAGAGAAGATGCACCCCGTGCTTGCCTAATGTAAGAGTATACCACAGTCAGTATCACCATTCTCTTACTGATGGAAAAAACCTGGTTGTTTCCAGTTTTCTCATTGCTGGTTTTTTGGGTTTTTTTTGTGTATGTTTCTTTGTTGTTTTTTTTTTGTTTGTTTGTTTTTTGAGACAGGATCTCACTCTGTCACCCAGGCTGGAGTCCAGTGGTGCAATCACAGCTCACTGTAGCCTCGACCTCCCCAAGCCCAGGTGATCCTCCTGCCTCAGCCTCCCAAGTGAGGAAGGAGAAAGAAAAAAAGCAGGCAGACAGTTAGGGCAGGTCCTTGGTGGAATTCTTTCAAACAAAACAGCAGTCTGGAAAAAATCAAGCTGCAGGCACATAAAGAGCAGCTTGGAAAAATCAAGCTACAGGCACAGATAAGGGAGTGAGGCCCAACATAGAAATGCCTTGGTTCTCTGTGTAATCAGTGCACTCCCAGGAAAAAGTTTCCTCCCCTTTTTGGGCATGTACACAGTGGGCTCCATGAGAACTTGCATGGGGTGGGGTGGGGGCTTGCTTAAAACATGCCCGTAGTTGCTCAGGCAAGAGAAGCTGCACCCTATGCTTGCCTAAGACATGCTCGCAGCTGCACAAATAAGGGAAGCTACACAGGTAGCTACACAGATAAGGTAAGTTACACAGCACCTACACAGATAAGGGAAGTTTCTTATAAAAACCTTCGTATTTAACTGTAAAACAACAACCCTCTTTCAGGTCCCCCGCTCTGCTGCTGAGAGCTTTCCTCTTTCACTTATTAAACTTTCACTCCAACCTCACCCTTGGTGTCCACACTCCTTAATTTTCCTGGTCATGAGACAAAGAACTCTGGATAACACCTCAGACAGTGAGATTGCTATATTGACCCTAGACTGCTTTACAAGTAGCTGCAACTATAGGTGCATGCCACCATGCCTGGGTGATTTTTGTTTTTGTTTTTGCAGAGACAGGGTTTTTCCATGTTGCCCAGATTGGTCTCAAACTCCTGAGCTCAAGCAATCCTCCTGCCTTGGCCTCCCAAAGTGCTGGGATTACAGGTGTAAGCTACCATGTCCATCCCTGGTTGTTTTTCATGACTATCTTGCCTCCTCATCAAGGATGGGAATGCTTCAGGATTAGTCAGTCTTCTGCTCCATATTTATTTTTTCATAGTGTCTACTGTTGTGCTAGTCAAATTTTTATTGCTAAACATAGAATTTGTGGATTGGGGGAAAACAAACCATGGGACACAAATGTCATTAGTATCTAGAAGGGCATTACTTATTGGCAAAAATTTCCCCTGGAATGTGACAAGTAAAACCTGTTGGTTAAAGACAGTAGCACTTTTCTGTTGTAAAGGAAAGGGAGACAGGTAGGAATAATTGAGGACAAATAGTTATCCTGAGGTTTTGGGATGGTTTAGATGGTTCATCTTCATGTAGGTACCCAGCCCTGTGTAGGGGAACTCCAAATACACTGTCAATACAGCAATGGCCTCCATGTTTCCAGAAAACAGAAAGCAGACTTACAGGGGATTTTAATATCACAGGTATTGCTACACATCAAAGTTACGATTGGATTTAAACTCCGTCTGAATTTGGGGAGTGACCCATACCAGCGAATCAGAGACCAAACTAGAAACCCTGGCAGACCCTCCTGCCTGAACCCAGGCGTTAACTCCACAGAGAACAGCAGAAATCTCCCCTTCTAGCAGCCAGGAACAAGCTGGAGACCAACATGGCCAAACGCCAGTGAGGCAGGAAGCCATGTGGCAGGAGCCCAGGAAAGGACCCACAGGCCTTATCCTGCCTCAGTACCTGGTTATTCAGGAAAAGTCTGACGGATAGACTCCACTGGGAAGAGGTGCTTAAACCTACTACACAGAATAGAGTTTACCAATAATGGTGGGATCAAGTCCTGCCATTTACCAAATGCCCATTGTGTGCCAGGTACCAGGAAAGGCACATCACAAAATCTCCCTTCCCTCACCATAAACCAACAAGATGGTGTTATCTCTGCTTTAGCGATGAGGAAACAGAAGCTCAGGTGGTCACACAGTGATAAGCTGTGGAGATTTGACTGTCTGCTCACCTCTGTACTAGTGTTCAGGCCCTCTGGAGCCTGAAGAGGATGTTAGGAACCTGGTGAGGCCTGCTGAGGCCATGGAAGGTCTGGCCTTTATTCAGCAGGGACATGATAAGCAATTTTTCCTAAGTCTTTTTGTGTTGAAAGTACTCACAGAATAGTGTAGAGTCCTGGTACATAGTTAGTGCTCATTAAAATAAGTGGTGAAGGCTGGTCTGAAGGTAGTGCATCATCTTAATTGATTGTTCATACTCAGTTACAGATAATACTCCTTGTTCTACTCTTTCCCCACTTCTCACTACTGCACTTGACTAGTCTTAAAAAAAAATAGGAATGCTTCCATGCCTTAGAGTTATTGACTTATACGTATGTTTGTTCATTTGTTTGTTTGTTTATTTATTTATTTGAGACAGAGTCTTGCTCTGTCACCCATGTTGGAGTGCAGTGGCATGATCTCAGCTCACTGCAACCTCCACCTCCCAGGTTCAAGAAATTCTCCTGCCTCAGCCTCCTGAATAGCTGGGATTACAGATGCACGCCACCACGTCTGGCTAATTTTTGTATTTTTAGTAGAGATGGGGTTTCACCATGTTGGCCAGGCTGATCTCGAACTTCTGACCTCAAGTGATCTGCCCACATAGGCATCCCAAAGTGCTAGGATTACAGGCGTGAGCTACTGTGCCTGACTGACTTATATGTTTAAATTCTGTAAATGAACATTAGGAAATATTTGATGAGTTGTGGTCTTCTTTCTAGATTAGTTGATTAGAATTTTAAGTCAAAGTTAACAAATGAAAGACTTTAAATCCAAATTTTGTATCCTAAGGAAAGAAAAGGACCCACAGAAATCCTTATGACCACCAAAATATGTCTGTATTTAGCTGGGCATGGTGGTTTATGCCTATGTAATCCCAGCACTCTGGGAGGCCGAGGAGAGCTGATCACCTGAGGTCAGGAGTTTGAGACCAGCTTGGCAAACATAGTGAAACCCAGTCTCTATTAAAAAATACAAAAATTAGCCAGGTGTGGTGGTGCATGCCTGTAATCCCAGCTACTCAGGAGGCTGAGGCACAAGAATCACTTGAACCTGGGAGGCTGAGGTTGCAGTGAGCTGAGATGGCACCACTACACTCCAGCCTGGACAACAGAGTGAGACTTCATCTCAAAAAAATAAAATGTCTATATTTGTCTCTTCCTTCTATCTCCTCTGACTCCCTCTGCTTTCTCTCCTGTCCAGTGAACTTTCTGCAAATTATGCCTATGTCATTAAGGATGAATTCTTCCACCTAGCCTTCAAGATCCTCCATAATCAGGTGGAGTTTTCATATTATTCAGTTTTACCTTCTAATTATGATTATATTATGATAACATGACATTTCACAGTTTTACAGTGCTTTTTAAATTTTATTTTATTTTATTGTTTTGAGATAGAGTCTTGCTTTGTCACCCAAGCTGGAGTGCAGTGGTGCAATCATGGCTCACTGCAACCTCAACCTCCCGGGCTTAAGTGATCCTTCTGTCTCAGCCTCCTGAGTAGCTGGAAATGCAGGTGCACACTACCACACCCAGCTAATTTTATTTTTTGTAGAGACAGGGTCTCCCTCTGTTGCTCATGCTGGTCTCAAACTCCTGAGCTCAAGCAATTCTTCTGCCTCGGCCTCCCAAAGTGCTGAGATTACAGGTGTAAGCCACCATGCCCAGCCAAGTGCTTTTTAAAGGGGGACTTTTATAAAGATTATGCATGTTTATCATCTCCAATAACTCCCCAACACAAAACCTCTGCTCTGAGCAGCACAGACTTATCTGCACCCAGATGTGTTACTCTCACATCTGTAATTTTGTTGTTCCCTTCCTCTTTTATTTTTTTTTTTTTGAGATGGAGTCTCGCTCTGTCTCTCACCAAGGCTGGAAAGCTGGCATGCAGTGGCATGATCCCAGCTCACTGCAACCTCTGCCTCCTGAGTTCAGGCAATTCTCCTGCCTTAGCCTCCCAAGTAGCTAGGACTATAGGCGCGTGCCACCATGTCTGGCTAATTTTTCTATTTTTAGACAGAGTTTCACCATATTGGCCAGGCTGGTCTCAAACCCCTGACCTCAAGTGACCTGCCCACCGCAGCTTCCCAAAGTACTGAGATTACAGGCATGAGCCACCGCACCCAGCCTGTTCGCTTCCTCTTAACTAGAATATTAGCTCTGACCTCTTCAATAACTCAAATATAAAACCGTTCTCAAGTATGAAGATGCTGGGTAGCCCAGTGGTTCTGAGCACTTGCTCTAGAGTCCAAAAGACCAGGGTGGGTATCCCAGTTCTGAGACCAACTAGTGAGTGACCCTGGGCAATAACCAGGCTTCAATTTCTTCTTCAATTAATGAAGATAATAATGCCTATCTCATAGAGTTGTTTCAAGAATGAAATAAATAGCCCAGGTGCAGTGGCTTAGGCCCGTAATTACAGAACTTTGGAAGGCCAAGGTAGGCAATTAACTTGAGGTCAGGAGTTCAAGACCAGCCTGGCCAATATGGTGAAGCCCAGCCTCTACCAAAAATACGAAAATTAGCCAGGCATGGTGCTGCATGTCTGTAATCCCAGCTACTTGGGAGGCTGAGGCACGGGAATCACTTGAACCAGGAGGTGGAGGTTGCAGCAAGGCAAGATTGCACCACTGCACTCCAGCCTGGGTGACAGAGCGAGACTCCGTCAAAAAAAAAAAAAAGAAAAAGAAAGAAAGAAAGAATTGTACATCTAAGTGTTTAACATGGAGACTAATGTAGCAAATCAATAAATATTAGCCACCTTCTTATTAATGTTACTACTGTTAGATGTCTAGCTCAAAGACCTATCTCCTCCATGAACTCTTTAACCACCTCTGCCCACAACAAATGCCCTTTGAACTCCTAAAGCCTATTCTTTCCCACACCTAATTGTACCCTATGGGCTTGCTGTCTAACTGCTGGTATTTATGAAGGGCCTGACATCTAGTGTTTCCATATAGAACTAAGCATCCAGGGATCATATCTGCTCATTTTTCTATATCCCTCAAGGCTCGTGGCATAAGACTGAGCTCATTGTGGACAACTGACTAAACCCTTGTTATAATTTACATTTACAGAACCCCACTCTTTGTTATAATTTATAGTCAGAGACTTTGTCCCACAGGTGAGAACCAATCATCAGTGGCTGTTGGAAGCTATAAACATTCCATTAGGAAATAACCTCGTAACACCACAGGAGCCTTCTTGACTTCCACTAATGATGAATGACTTAACATCCCTAAACAAGACACATGCCTGACTGCTTCACAGCTGGTCAATCCCTCTCCATGTGGTTGGGCTCAGAGAACTTTATAACTAACACAGGATGGGGCCTCCTGTCAACCTCCACCTTCCCCCAAATAACGTGACCTTATTTCCGGGCTGCACAGCAGCCTCACCGGTAAAGGAAGGTTAAAGCCAACAGCTAACTATGCCAAGACAACTTGGATTTAATTCACGGTATCAGGGAACAACACAGCCTGCCACAGCTGAGAATTCCTCCCTCTGGAAAAATGAATTTAGTAAATCTAGGAAAAATAATGGTGGTTTCCCAGCCATCTAATAAAAATCAAACATTATATCCAAGGCCGTGGTTCACAGCATGTAAAGGTAGTTTGGTTTCCTGTGCCTCAAATGTTTTCTCCAGCCCTTTACCTGGCTTATTTCTTACCTGGCTCCAGATGTTGGATTAATTGTCCCTTCCTCAAATGAACCAAGGGTCTGGGTAAAATACACTAATCACACCCTGCATTCTCCTCTACTGCCCTTAACACATGGTGACTAAGTAACTATCTGTCTGCTCCAGGTCCCTCTTTTCTTGTGTAAGGTAAGATCCATGTGAGTATGGAACAAGATTGTCTTGTTCCCTGCTGTACCCAGAGCTTAACAGAGGGCCTGGCCCAAAGAAAGCATGCACACATATTTATGTTGAATGAACACATAAGTCGAAGGACCTTGCTGACCTGGTTTTAGGTGCTTTGCCGATGATCCCACTTTTTCGACTGTTCCCGAAGCTTCATGTCCCAGCACCATGGGCTTTTTCACAATAAAATTCCCAATTCGACCATACTCCCAGTAGTGGACATCTGAGCCACAGATTCCAACAGAATGCATCCTCAGCAAGACCTCTGATAAAAGAAAGGAAGAAAAAAACAGTGAGAGAGGGAACAACCCCTATCACTCTGAGGTGACCTAGTGATTTCCCTTTGCCCAGGGTAGAGGGCTGGGTTACCAGGCCAGGTACACAATTTAGGCCACAGAGGAAATCAAGCTCCATAGCAACCCTGATTAAGTCTCGCAAGGCAAACAAGCTTCCACATGTGGTGGCTAATTTTATGTGTCCACTTGGCTAGGCTATAGTGCTTGGTTGTTTGAAGATACGTGTTGGGCATGGTTAACTTTTAAACCAATAGATTTTGAGTAAAGTAGATTACCCTCCATAATGTGGGTGAGCCTCATCCAATCAGTTTGAAGGTCTTAAAGGCAAAGACTGAGGTTTTCTGAAGGAGAAGGAATTCTCCTCAAGACTGCAACATCAACTCTTACCTGAATTTCCAGCCTGCCCTTTGTACACATACACACATACATACATACACATATATCTTAGTGGTTTTGTTTCTCTGGACAACACTAACCAATACACTGGGTAAACAATATATCATTAGTAGGATGAAATGTACCAACCACTTAAGAGAACAAACTATTTTCCAAAAGATAACTTTCCAGACAATTAATATGCTATGCGTGATTCCTATCTATTTATGAGAACAGGTCTGGTAGAATCTCAGCTTGGCAACATTTTGTGAACTATCAAGTTGAGTTCTTCACGCCTATTGTTTTCTTTCTTTCTTTGTTTCTTTTTTTTTTTTTGAGACAGAGTCTCCCTCTGTTGCCCAGACTGGAGTGCAATGGCAGGATCTCGGCTCACCGCAATCTCCGCCTCCCGGGTTCAACCAATTCTCCTGCCTCAGCCTCCCAAGTAGCTGGGATTACAGGTGTGCACCACCATGCCAGGCTAATTTTTGTATTTTTAGCAGAAACGTGGTTTCGCCATGTTTGCCAGGCTGGTCTTGAACTCATGACGTCAGGTGATCCACCTGCCTCAGCCTCCCAAAGTGCTGGGATTACAGGCCTGAGCCACCACGCCTGGCTAGTTTTCTAAGTTTAAAATAATGATGGTACTGAGCCCCTTTGGTGGAATAAGTACCAATAAGTACCATCATCTCTGACTGAGATGATGGTTATGAATACCTCCCTGAAAAAAACACTCTGCCTTAGAAAGACAAAGAGACCCAAATCTCTGCTATGCACTGCACTTGCCACAGACTGCCAGGGGTGGCTCTTCAGAACTTTCTTCCTCCTTAGTTTTAGTGAAGAGTAAGAAATGGCAGGGTGAATTCTCAGGTCAAATGCAGGGAAAAGTCATTTGAGTTAGGAAAATCATCTCAGAATTTCGTCTCTTGAAGTAGCAATTGGTAGTGAGAGATTAGATTTGACTTGCTAGAACACTCGCTGAAATGCACTCTTTTCGCTTCCAATGCAAGTGTAGCAAGAGACGAGAGTGCAAGCAGAATGCTGCTTCAGGGAGAAAAGCTGTACCAGGAGCCAAGCTTGTACTCTGGGTCCAAGACAGCCCTCATTTGGCCACTTATGGAATCAACAGTCAACTTTTCAGGACACAGTGAGGTAACTCTTTCACTTCTCTGAACATGGTATCTTGGTGAAAATCCTTGAACCCTAACTATACAATACTTACTCAGCACCCACAGAATGGTTATATTCTATCTAGTCTGTATTCTTACCACTTACAAGTCGATAACACAACTGACCTTTCAGTAGCAAAGCTGTGGATCTACCAGGAAAGCTGCCTTTGATCTGATGTTCACCCAGAAGCTGCGGTTCTGGTGTGAGGTAGGACAAAGTGGGAAAGGACACCCCCAACTCCTCAAGGGCAGAAAGGGGACCTGACTGTCTAGGTGTGAGAGGGGGAGGGTGAGTATCTACAGACACTCTGACCATTGCCCCCAGCCTCACTTCAGGGTCCTGCACGATTATGACAAAGTGGAATTCCAGGGATGGGAGGGATTAGAAAGCTGTCAGCAGGGATCTGCCCGAGCCAACAGACAAAAAGAGATGGAAATGTTCACAGCACCTGCCATGTGCAGACGGTGGGCTGGACTTTATCCTCACCATAGCACTCAGTTTGTACATGAGAAACCCAAAGCTGGGAAGTTGCAGATGCCACCTTGGGCGTCAGCATGTCAGCTAAGCCCCACAGGCTTAGCAAGTGAGAGACGTGGAAGGAGTGGAGTAAAGGTGTTGGAAACCCTGCCCCAGTGTGCTCACTCACTTTCTGTGCTTGGTTGATTAGGGCAGGGGACAGGGCCTCATGCAGCCCCTCCCACCCCCACTGGACAGTAGGTCCTGGGCTGCCCCACACTTCGGTGACTGGCCTTCCTGGGGAGTGGGGAAACTGGCATGATGCTCCCTTTGCTAAAGATTAAGTTCTGTAGACTCACTCCTTTTCAAAGTTTGGGTTAGGGTTAGGACACTTGGCCACTCCAACAGCAGCTTCTGGTAGATAGGGTACACTGTCATTAGGTCAAAAGAGGAAGAATTCTGTCATTGGTCCATATACTTCACATCAAAAACTCTTTGGGACAAGTCAGCAGTCTGGTACGGTAATTTTTCTGATTCTATCACTATTCTTTTTATTTCATGTAGCAGCCAAGATAAACTTCCCATGAGGTCATGCTGTGGGCAGTACACACTGTTCTCAGCATAAGAAAAGCATAGGTTTTTAATGGACGCAAAAGTAATAAACAGTTGGAAAAGAGAGGTAAGGGAGCAATATACATGTGACTCCAAAGGAAACAACAGGAAATAACAGAATATAAGTCATGTTTCCCAAGAACTTACCATTTGGGCCTGGTTCAGGGATAGGATAGTTCTCCTAAAAGAAACAAAATTGAAAAAATCATTTAGCATGCATAATAACTTCACCTTATGAACATTTTCCATTAAAAACAATTAGAGTTTCATCATTAGTTTATTTCTTCTTAGAATTAACACAAGCTCAGACCACACTGCTCCTGGGTGCATGCCTGAGGGGATACGCTAAATGGCACGCTGCACACACCTGCCTAGCCCTTCGTCACTTTTCTGCATAACACAGTGATGGACCCAACAGCAGCATGCCCAGCATACTCACAGAGCATACAGAGGACCACACTTGTTGTCAGTAGTGACATGTCACAGGGTGAGATGAAGTTCTGACGCTGGGTTCCCTCCCTAGGAAACAGCCTACAAGCCAAAGGCCAATCCTAACTGAGGAAGAGCTGACTCTAATTGCTGACCTCATCCCACCCACTGGTGCAACTTCGCCAGGACTAAGGAAAAAGCACAGTCCATGTAACTCTAGGCAGAAGGGATCTTTGGGTTTCTAGATCTGCCATCCGTATCAGATCCTGCCTTCCTGGAAAAACATGTTCTTAGATACAGATTTGTTTGGTCTGACAAACTCCTCCAGGGAAAGGATGCAGGCGTTTCTGACAGTTGCACTGAGGATGTTTCCCGCTAGACAGGTAGGAGAAAGTGTCTGTGCTGCCAACCTCTTTCCTTTACATCAGCACAAAGACTGATACCTGGTCCTCTTTTCCTAACTTCCCATGTGGCATTTGAGGGGCCCCTTGGGAACACATAAGACCTGCATTTTGGCCCCTCTCACAGGTTCAAAAGTAATCTGAGCTATTCTGGTGTTCACAGCTAGTAGTAGTAGCAGTAGCAGCAGTAGTTGTAGTAGTGTTGGTTTACTAAGCCTTCTTTCCTCATTGTCAACAGGCTAGGAAAGTCCTAGTGACAAGGAAGGCCACTGAGTGGCCAAATCAATCCAAGTGTTCATTTTATTCTTTGAAGGTAATCAAGAAAAGAGATGTACCCAGGCGCAGTGGCTCATGCCTGTAATCCCAGCACTTTGGGAGGCTGATGCGGGCAGATCACTTGAGGTCAGGAGTTTGAGACCAGCCTGGCCAACATGGTGACACCCATCTCTACCAAAAATACAAAAATTAGCCGGGCGTGGTGGCACGTGCTTGTAGTCTCAGCTACTCAGCAGGCTGAGGCAGGAGAATTGCTTGAACCCGGGAGATGGAGGTAGCAGTGAGCCCAGATTGTGCCACTGCACTTCAGCCTGGGTGACAGGGTGAGACTCTGTCTCAAAAAAAAAAAAAAAAAAAAAAAAGAGAGACAGAGAGAGATGGAAATGTTCACAGCACCTGTCATGTGCCAGACAGTGGGCTAGACTCTATCCTCACCATACCACTTAGTTTGGAAATGAGAAACTCGAAGCTGGGAAGTTAAATAACTTGGTCAAGGTCATGCTACCAGAGAGTGGATGAAGCCTGCTTCCACTGTACCCTACTGTAGCCCCAAGGTGGAATATGACTTTTCTCCTTCAGGGGTGGTGCAAAGAGCTGCCAAACAAGTGATGAGAATGTCAGAGCTGAGCCCCATGAAGAAAACTCTGGGAGGAGGCACTGTTCAAAGCTTACCTCCTTCCAAAAGGGCCTAACTAGCTACTTTCATAGGCAGCCCCACCGCACTAAACAACACCAAAGGACAAATGCTGCTCGGTACTATCACCGTGCTTAGTGATCAGTGGCTTTTTATTTTTTCCTAACAAGATAATAAACACCTTGAAGCCAAAGACCACGCCTTCCATCTCTTTAGCACCAGGTACACTGCTTGGCCCCAAACTCAAGTGTTTGTACTTGTTAAATAACCACTATCCAAACTAGTGTTTCCAAGGAAGGTCAGAGGTTTTCACTTATGTCAAGTTACCAGCCCTTTCTGTTGAAGAGGCTCAGTGCTAATTTGAACCTCTTCTCCCATGAAACAAAGCTCAAAGCTTTAATGTTATTGCTGCCTAGCTGATATTGCTCAATGGCTTCTTTATGTCAGGTACGGTGTGCTTTACAGGCATTACCTCATTTAATACTCACAGAAACCCTACATGGTACATCCTACTATTGTCCCTTTTTCATATGATGAGACTGAGGAACCCACCCATGGTAACACTAAGGCAGTAAACGGTGGAGCTGCATCCAAAGCAGCCTGATGGGGGCAAAAGGGCTTAAGGGAGTTTTTTTTTATCTCTTGATAATTTAGACTGGCTACATCGGAAGGAAGGAAGGAAGGAGGGAAGGAAGGAAGGGAGGATGGGAGGGAGGGAGGTAATCAGTCTAGAAATAGCCACCTTATGATAGCTGATTGTCACCAAAACCTTCCTTAAAGTTGTTGCTGGTCCCACATCAGACATCAGTGACCGCTGTGTAAAGCGATCCTTCTGTTATACCAAGTGGATTTTTTTTTGTTTTTTTTACTTTAAGTTCTGGGATACATGTGCAGAACCTGAGGTTTGTTACATAAGTATACATGTGCCATGCTGGTTTGCTGCACCTATTAACCCATCACCTAGGTTTGAAGCCCCACATGCATTAGGTATTTGTCCTAATGCCCTCCCTCCCCTTGCCCCGCACCCCCCGACAGGCCTCAGTGTGTGATGTTACCCTCCCTGTGCCCATGTGTTCTCATTGTTCAACTCCCACTTATGAGTGAGAACATGTGGTATTTGGTTTTCTGTTTCTGTGTTAGTTTGCTGAGAAGGATGGCTTCCAGCTTCATCCATGTCCCTGAAAAAGACATGATCTCATTCTTTTTTATGGCTGCATTATACTGCGTGAAATGTTAAACTGCAGGTTAAATTGAAACTAAAGACTAAGGCCTTTATTTCAAACATGGGAGAGCACCCCACCTTCCCTGCTAAAGGCACTAGTAGGCAAATTCACAGACACTGAAAGACAGTTCCACAGCATACAATTCATAGCCTTGCCTCCAGCCAGGCCAGACCTGAACGCCCCATTTCAAGGTGGAGAGGTGGTAAGACTAAAGCTTAGAACAACAGTCAGGCACACCAAGTAGGCCCTGGGTCACTAGAGAGAACACTACTGTAAATATTTGTTCAAGTTAACGGAGCTGAACAACTGTGCTCCTACCACACAGCAAAGCTGCAGTGACTCTCCCAGACACTAGAGGGTGCTGTGCCCACAGCCTGTGCTGTGCCTATAGCGGAACACGCTTGATGGAGAAGTTCAAATAAATTCTTCTCCCTGCACACCAACTTTCTTTTTCCATTCTTTTTCTTGCTGATTCTAATTACCCTTGCAACTCAGGCTTGTCTCCTGCCTCCTGTCTCTGTAGGAGACATGCTACCTGAGCACAAAACCATTTTAACATCAGCCTGTAGGTTTGTAAATATTGCCCTAAGCACACTGTGGAGACTACAATGTTTTAGGAAGTTACTACAGCATGGTTGCTCAAAACCTTGCTTTTCATGTTTCCTTGCCATGATGTTGGCCACAATCCTCTGTTTGCTTAATCCTTTTCTGTCTCAGATACTCTTCCATTTATCCAATTTCTCATGTACCAAAGTTTCTTAGCTCCTCTGAGATCCCGAACTTTCACTTTTATCTCCACAGCTCCTTTTTTTCTCATTCCCAAGGGTTTTGTCATCTCAATCATATTCAAGGTTTCCTAAAGGAATTTCTTTCTTTCTTTATTTTATTTATTTATTTATTTATTTATTTATTTATTTTTTGTAACTCATCAGCAGTCCCTGATGTCAGATGTCGCTGCACTCAGGCTAGAGTGCAGTGGCACGATCTCGGCTCACTGCAGCCTCGACCTCCTGAACTCAAGTGATCCTCCCATCCTCCCACCTCAGGCTCCCGAGTAGCTGGGATTACAGGTGCGTGCCACGCCGCGTGGCTAATTTTTTTCTATTTTTGGTAGAGATGTGGTTTCATCATGTTGGCCAGGCTGGTCTCGAACTCCTGGCCTCAAGTGATCTGCCTGCCTCTGCCTCCCAAAGTGCTGGGATTACAGGTGTGAGCCACCATGCCCGGCCGAATTTCTTATCTTTTAATGAGTGACTGTACAAGAGGGTAAAAAGGAATTGAGTAATTTTTCTTTACCATAGTTGTGTGAGTTTTCCAGCATATTTCACTTCAAGTCAGAAATACATATCTGAATCACATATATACTCTCCCTTCTATCCCCTTCAGCTCCTCCCGCTGCCCTACCAGCCCACTCCTGAAGTAACTCATGGAAATACTTCAGGAAGTACTCTCTGCGGGGACATGGAATCATCTCAGGTACCTCTCACATACTAAATGTTACCTTGCTTTTCCTAAATACATTTTTTTACATTAGCCTAAATATATATTTCCTAGCTATGTCATCATTGGTCCCTTTTCCTCTACTTCCACCTGCATAACTGAGTTGATTCCCTCAACACGTCTTGCTTGGGTTGTAGCAACAGCCTCAACACAAGCAGAAATGGAAGGAAGATGCCTTTTCCCTCCTCCAGCCAACCTGAGTGGCACAGTGAACTCAGATTCTGGAACTGCCTGTCAACATGCAACCCAGGCTTCCCCCACCAGCTGCGTGACCTCAGGGTAGTTATGTAACCCCTGTGTGCCCCAATTTCCTCCTTCATATAATGATAATCATGAAAGGGAATGCCGACTCAGTAAATACGTTCACTCTTATTACAAAAGAAGTAAAATCAAAGTTCTTTTTCCATAATTAGCTCACACTATGGTTGAACCAACCCTGGACAATCTTGTCCTTTTGATAAGAGTAAAGCATGTTAAATAGAAATTACAGGAGGCCACTGTTTTGCTCCTGCACAGCGCCCCAAGAGAACAGAATTAAAAACCCAAAATGGAGCCACTCATACTAAAGTTCCACATCATCAAAGCAAAACTAAGTTCTTATATGACCTTCCGAGAAATCAGGAGAGATAATAGCCAAATATCCCAAACAGGCCAGTTTCAGTCAGCATGATAATAAAGTTCCCTCTACTTTAATCCTTACCAAAAAATAAAAAATAATGACCTGAAGAAACCTGATCTTAACCAATCAGTTATTTTTCTGTTGTTCTATTTCCCTGTTCTCACCTTACAAGGAAAATAACCGAAATGACCAATCTGCTTTTTCTTGTGTTTCTGCTTTCTTTAGCTCTTTTCTGTTTGTAAAACCAACCTCCTCTGTTTACCTCACTGGAACACAGGCTATTTTATGGAATGAAGTGTTGCCCAATTCTAGAATTGCAAATAAAGCCAAAGAAAATCTTTTAAATTAAATTGCAGTCATTTTATCTTTTGACAAGTATTTTAAATTATTTTGTGGAAAAGTTGTGTTCTGCATCCTGGATTCAACCAAACCTGAGGTCAAAAATATTCAAAAAATAAAAAACAGCAATACAACAATAAAACATAATGCAAATGAATAATATTGTATAACAATTATTTACAGAGCATTTACATTGTGTTAGGTATTAGAGGTAATCTAGGGGGATTTAAAGTAGATGGGAGGATGCATGTAGGTTATATGCAAATACTAGACCATTTTATTACATACAAGGGACTTGAGAATCCTTGGATTCTGGCATCCACAAAGGGTTCCTGGAGCCAATCCTTCCCCTACTCCAGGATACCGAGGACAACTGTATTCTCATGGTTTTCATATCAACATTAAGAAAATCTGACCACTCTACAAGGCTGGCATTTGGAAGAAAGTGAAGGGATTCTAGCAGTTTTTAGGCTTGACTCTGCCAGTTGTGGAAAGAGTGCAATGTGCTCCCACTGTCTTCGGGTGGGGGACAGCTAGCAGTGTGTGGGGAAAGTGCTGGTCTCATCCCAGATGCACAGCAGTCACCTGCTCCCTGCTGCCAAGCCTCCTGTGGGCCTGTGGAGGGCTGCCCTGCACACCTGCAGGGCGCAAGAGACCCTGTTTTTCTTCCTTTCCTCTTCCATTTTCCCTTTCCCTTGAGTGCCTGAAGCGTGTTTTAAGGGTGGGAGGAAAATTCAAAGGTTTCCCAATTGGCTATTTTGTCATGAGAGGCTTTGTTCTAGCTGTGTTGGTCCTGGCAAACTTGAGGTCAAAGTAGGAGGTAGAATTTCCTCCCAAGGTCCAGTGAGCTGGTCTCCAGCCCAAGCTCTCCTGGCTCCATTCAACTTTGTTCTGCTGATAACAATCTTGCTGAAATGCAAATCTGTATCAAGTCACCAGTGACCCTGGAGACTCCTAAACCCCTCACCTGGTGGCCACCACACCCCCATTTCACCTCCAACTACACCCATTTCCCATTGCCTAATCCCTCTCCTTCTTTCAGATCCCGCAGGAGGTGGGAATTGAGGCATCTGGGATGACTTCTGAATTCCTACAAGAATTACGAGACACTTAGGTTTGGACATGCTGGGACTGAGGTGTCTTGGGACATCCAGGTAGGGCTATTGATATATAATAATGTTTTGTGATTCTAAATGTCTCAAAATGGAGTCTTCTTTTTCTTCTAGTTATTGTTTTATAAAAATATATTGTGGTAAAATACATAACATAAAATCTACCATCTTAAATCTTTTTAAGTGTATAATTCAATATTGTTGTCTATATTGTCTATATTCACATTGTTATACAACAGATGTCCAGAATTTCACATCTGGTAAATCTGAAACTGAATACCTGTTAAGTAACAACTGCCCATTTTACCCCCTCAGCAGCCCTTAACAAACACCATTCTACTTTTTGTGAGTTTGGCTACTTATGTCATATAAGTGGAATCATACACTATCTGTCACTTTGTCACTGGCTTGTTTTTATTAACATAATATTCTCAAGGTTTATTTTTAACACAGCATGTGACAAAACTTTTTTTCAGGGCTGAATAATATTCCATTATATATCTATATTCCACATTTTTAAAAAGTGTTCATTACTTGAATAACATCTGGGTTGTTTCCACCAACAAAATGGAGTCACAATGATAAGTGACTCAGCTCACAATGAAACTGCTGACTGCTCAAAGTGATAAGCATATGTTTGTGGGACTGAGATGACAACACCTGCTGTGGCCAGGCAACCCCAAAACTTGATAAGAAAGTGAAGCCAAGGCCAGGCGGGATGGCTCACACCGGTAATCCCAGCACTTTGGGAGGCCGAGGCAAGGTGGATTGCTTAAACTCAGAAGTTCCAGACCAGCCTGGGCAACATAGTGAAACCCTGTCACCAAAATTAATTTTAAAAAATAAAATAAGAAAGTGAAGCCAAAAGATGGCTAAGTTATGACAATGGACATTCCTATGCAGGGTATAAAAACAGCAAAGAAAGTGACCATGGCCGAGAGCCTGTAGAAGCTCTGCCCGTGAGAACTCTGAGGCCTCCTCACGAACAGAGGCTGCCATAAGTTCTGCTGGGAGAAGAACAGCAACAACACTCCTCCCACTTTGTTGTTTCAAGGGAAATCCAAATCTGTTCATCAGTCAGCGTGCTAGTCTCTGGAACTACTCGCCATGGTTCATTACCTGTTTGTTTTTTTTTTTAAGAGATGGGTTCTCATTCTGTAGCCCAGGCTGGCACATTAATAGCTCACCACAATCTCGAACTCCTGGGCTCAAATGATCCTCCCACTTCAGCCTGCTGAGTAGCTGTGACTACAGGAGTGTGCTATCACACCTGGCTACTTTTTACATTGTTTGTAGAGATGAGGTCTTGCCCCAGCTGATCTCAAACTCCTGGCCTCAAGTGATCCTCCCACCTCAGCTTCCCAAAGTGCTGAGATTACAAGTGTGAACCACCATGCCCCCCCGACCTCCCCTATCACTGCCTGTGTGTGTTGAATATATTTGCATGATCGTTGGTATGTGAAAGCCTCACATTTAATTGGCCATTGAGTTATTGTGAAACCTCTGGGCTCCTGGTCGGAGTCAGCACAAGTAGGCTGGAACCTGACATGACAGCTGTTCAACAGGCAGTTGGTTACTGGGACTGGCGCTCAGGCATCACCTCCTGCAAGAAGCCTCCCCTCTGGAGAGGTGACTCCTTTCTCTCCTTTGCACTTCTCCAGCACCTAGCATTGAATCCACACAGGATAGTTAAGGACTATTTAATTTTCATCAGGGATAAATATATTAAAATTTCCTCCTAATTCAAAGTGTATGAACATAACCATACATGATCTTATTAAATGGTTCTATATATGGAGCAAAAATTCTAAGTCTCTGAGCTTTGTCAGATGCTCTAGTCTGTTCGTGATCTTGATAAGTGCTCACTGTGTTCAGGTCTATGTTACTGAATATTTCTGTGTTTTTTAAAATTGTTGAGTTGAATATTACTTTGCAAAATTTGAATGTATTTTCCCTGGTAACTAATGTTCTTAGTGTAAACCTGATTTGGGGAAAACTGCCAGCATTAACAGCCACACTAAAAGACTTCTAAGTTAGATGCTAATATTGAGTATCTACGTGTACATATTTCTCCTCCTTCTTAATTTCTGCCATGCAAGTTTTAAAGAGAAATTTCCCCTATGTCCATAATTCTAGTGTCTCCCCTTAAAATAGGGCTGCTTTTACAGAATGGTAAAATCCTGTTTGTGATATTGCTTGCTTCTTCTCCTGCTTTTGATAGTGAAAGGAGGTGGCCAAATGCCTAGGCAGATAGGGGCGGATACCCAGTGAAATTCCACCTCCAAGTAGAAGACAGTTTAAAGCCTGAAAGCCAAGCTACAAGTTAAATCCTGGGACTGGATCAAGAACTTGTCTTCCTGTTTGGACACCTTCCTCTGATTGATCCCCACCCTTCACCTATTTTACATACACCTAACCTTTCCTAAGTGGTTTTCTACACTGTTTTGCCCACCTTTGAGTGGCGTCTTCACTTTAACTTTTTTTGCATACTCACAAACCAATCAACACACACTTCCCATCCTGTGCCTATAAAGATCCCAGACTCAGTTGGTAGAGGAGGAAATGGCCTAACTTCAGGGAAGAGACAATCTGACTTCTGGGAAGATGACCTGCCCTTCCCATCCCCTCTCCAGTTCCCTTCTCTGCTGAAAGCCATTTTCATTGCTCAGTAAAATTCTCCACCTTCACCATCCTTCAATCATCTGCGTCACCTCATTCTTCTTGGACACTGGACAAGAGCTCAGGGCCCACCAAGTACTGGTACCCAGAAAAGGCTGTCACACTGGCCCTTTGCCCCTCACCAGTGGCATGCCCCATGCAGCGAGGCAAGGGGCCAACTGAGCTGCTAACCTGACACCATCTGCAGATGGTGGAACTAAAGGAGCACTGTAACAGCCCCTCTGGGGCTTCAGGGTCATGGACACCCTTACCTGGGTGCTGCTGCATTCCCCTCAAGGAGCTTGCTCCTGTGTCAGTGCCTGGAGCAGCTGGCCAGCTGGATCCCGCACTCGCTCATTCATGTGCTCCCTCCCACAAGGGGTTGAGCATGGTAGGCCCAGTAGATAATGCACCCTTCCGTAAGTCCGGCGAAGGGGCCAAGAAAAAGCTTGCATCACTTTGAGAGGAAAATGCTAACTTTGTGCTTCGTGGTCTTTCACAGACAAAGGCACTGTCTTTCCAGAGCTGTTGGTGGAGGTGGGAGTGTTTGCTGGATTTAATTTCCTGTTTCGAATTTGAAGTGGTTTGTCCCGTTTGGGTTGTGTTTTATTGTTAAAACATAATTAAGATAAAAGCAAGAAAGATGCTTCTTTGGGTTACTTGCTGCTACCAAATTTCTCTTTTTCTGGAGGAGTTTTAGATTCTCTTTTCACTCTCAAGTGTCTCTGACTGGTAAGGGTTAAGTAGCCTGCATCTCATCACTATCAGGGTAATCTGGTTTAATCCAGCTGCTCCTTCATGACTATCAGTGCCTTTAATCTGATCACATAGAAGCAGCTGGCTCAGAGAAACAGACATGATGCCCAGGACCATCTGAGCTGCCTATGTTCATGCCCTCTCATTATACAATCCGCTTCTCACCCCAAAATCTTAACAGTAAAGTATAGATGGCAAGGAGGGGACATTTTGAATGTGCTGTATTACAGATATAGATTTATCTTATTTTAAAAAATAAATAAAAGTAGGTCAAAGCAATCCTTTTGACCTAAGGTATAATACGTTGCCTCAATGGACAAAAACTCAAGAAATATCTTCATGTAATATCTCCAAGTAATGTTTAAACTTGATACCAATGTATTATTTCTTTCTGACCTTTATAATTAAACAACATTAACCCATCATTCTGAAATTATTATTTTTTCCTTTAATTTATTGTCTCCTCATATAGCTGATCATAACAAAAATCTGACTACATCTCCTCCACGGTGTTGTTTCCTGGAAGTGGAGCCTATTTTCTTCCTATACTTCTCCCTGTTCAGATGCTCCTGCCTGAAGTCTGGAAGAGCCAGCTTTCAGGAAGAAGGGAGATAAAGTGCACTCAGAGGGTGATTGATGAACTGATTTGTAATGCAATGTACAGAAATTGAGAGGAGCATTTAGAAACGTTTATAGATTTTTTTTGTTTCCTTTTGTTTTGAGATAGAGTCTTGTTCTGTCACCCAGGCTGGAGTGCAGTGGTGTGATCTCAGCTCACTGCAACCTCTGCCTCCCTGTTCAAGTGATTCTCATGCCTCAGCCTCCTGAGTAGCTGGGATTACAGGCATGCACCACCACACCCAGTTAAGTTTTGTATTTTTAGTAGAGACAGGATTTTGCCATGTTGGCCAGGCTGGTCTCAAACTCCTGGCCTCAAGTGATCTGCCCGCCTTGGCCTCCCAAAGTGCTGGGGTTACAGGCATGAGCCACCGTGCCTGGCTGTTTATAGCATTTTGACGTGACACAGCATTCAAATATATTGATGCAAACATATCAGTCCATGGCCGACTGGAAAAAGTAAAATTGGCCCTTCATTGTGGACAGTTTGTAAAGCCCTGTATTAAAGTACCCAGCACATGCCTGGAATGCAGTAGGCAGTCAATATATTAATTCCCCGCATTTCCTTACCATTCGAGTGAACCCTACATTGTAAAAACAAGCTTCCCACCACCCCCACCACCAAACATAGCTTCTGTGGGGGAAAAACTAATTTGACTGTTTTACATTCTAACTTCATGAATCTGTAATTCATTTCCTAATTAAAAGCTTCTGGGTCTCAATAGACTGATCAAAGGGGCATACAGTAATTAAACTGGTAAATACAGTGGAAAGCAAGATTATTGCCTGGGCCCACATTATAATAATTTGGTTAGGAAAACTGTTCATGTGTTTGAAGGCCCTGGTCTCCATCCACCTCTTTTTAAGCTGATATGGTTTAAGTGTCCGTCCTCAGGGGCTCTGGCTTCCTGCTTATCTCCACAGTTAGCACATACCATTAACAGTGTGCTAGATGCTGTGCTAGGCCTTTCACATGCACAATTGGTTCCACTGAATCCTCATACAACCAAAGATGAATACTACCATTATCCCCATTTCACGGGGAAGTTGAAGTGGAAAATAATTTGTTGAGTCATACAACTAGCAGCAGTAGAAGGGGGACTAAACCCCACTCTGGCTCCCCAGCCTGGTTTGGGAACTTCGTACTACTTCCATTTAGAGAGAACTCCAGCACGCTTACACTGTTTGCTTCTTTATACATCAATTTGGTCAACAGTTACTTTTCCTCCTGCCAATTCTCAAACTATCTCTATTTAAAATGAGGGGAAAAGCAAAAGTCCTTAAGTCTCAGATTGATGTTTCATTTTGTTCTCCTAATTATAAAAGAAAACCACTGGTCTTAGTGTGTGTCTGACTTACCACCCAATTTATAAATACTTCTCTTTGCTGTGGTCAAGGTGATCATTAACTAATTAGTAGGCAAGGAGTTAATTTTTTTGTTCCCTGCAGCCATACATCAAGAAAGAAGAGAATGGTGCCTTCTCCTAGGCAGTAGGGAGGCTGTGCGGTAGGCTTCCTTCCTGCCAGTTAAGGGACAAGTAAAGTGGATCAGGTCGCATTCCCCCACAGAACCACTGCCCTGGATGCTGGCTGGTTCCTGGCCTTACCTCAAGTAGGATGGCAGCACTGGGAAAGGTTGAGATATTGCTTCCTGCTTAAGAATGCTTTGGAATCCTGCTTCAGATTTTAGGAATGATTTATACACTTTTTGGAAAGCAAATAATGATGTAATTTAATGATACACTTTTCCCTTGAAAATTTATACATTTTTTGAAAAGATTTTAGGAATGAGTCTCTATTTCCTTCAGTTCTGCTCTGATTTTAGTTATTTCTTGCCTTCTGCTAGCTTTTGAATGTGTTTGCTCTTGCTTTTCTAGTTCTTTTAATTGTGATGTTAGGGTGTCAATTTTGGATGTTTCCTGCTTTCTCTTGTGGGCATTTAGTGCTATAAATTTCCCTCTACACACTGCTTTGAATGTATCCCAGAGATTCTGGTATGTTGTGTCTTTGTTCTCGTTGGTTTCAAAGAACATCTTTATTTCTGCCTTCATTTCGTTATGTTCCCAGTAGTCACTCAGGAGCAGGTTGTTCAGTTTCCATGTAGTTGAGCGGTTTTGAGTGAGTTTCTTAATCCTCAGTTCTAGTTTGATTGCACTGTGGTCTGAAAGACAGTTTGTTATAATTTCTGTTCTTTTACATTTGCTGAGGAGAGCTTTACTTCCAACTATGTGGTCAATTTTGGAATAGGTGGAAAAACCCTTCAAAAAATTAATGAATCCAGGAGCTGGTTTTTTGAAAGGATCAACAAAATTGATAGACTGCTAGCAAGACTAATAAAGAAAAAAAGAGAGAAGAATCAAATAGATGCAATAAAAAATGACAAAGGGGATATCACCACCGATCCCACAGAAATACAAATACCATCAGAGAATACTACAAACACCTCTACGCAAATAAACTAGAAAATCTAGAAGGAATTTATCCTCGACACATACACTCTCCCAAGACTAAACCAGGAAGAAGTTGAATCTCTGAATAGACCAATAACAGGATCTGAAATTGTGGCAATAATCAACAGCTTACCAACCAAAAAGAGTCCAGGACCAGATGGATTCACAGCTGAATTCTACCAGAGGTACAAGGAGGAACTGGTACTATTCCTTCTGAAACTATTCCAATCAATAGAAAAAGAGGGAATCCTCTCTAACTCATTTTATGAGGCCAGCATCATCCTGATACCAAAGCCGGGCAGAGACACAGCCAAAAAAGAGAATTTTAGACCAATATCCTTGATGAACATTGATGCAAAAATCCTCAATAAAATACTGGCAAACTGAACCCAGCAGCACATCAAAAAGCTTATCCACCATGATCAAGTGGGCTTCATCCCGGGGATGCAAGCCTGGTTCAATATACACAAATCAATAACTGTAATCCAGCATATAAACAGAACCAAAGACAAAAACCACATGATTATCTCAATAGATGCAGAAAAGGCCTTTGACAAAATTCAACAATGCTTCATGCTAAAAACTCTCAATAAATTAGGTATTGATGGGACGTATCTCAAAATCATAAGAGCTATCTATGACAAACCCACAGCCAATATCATACTGAATGGGCAAAAACTGGAAGCATTCCCTTTGAAAACTGGCACAAGACAGGGATGCCCTCTCTCACCACTCCTATTCAACATAGCGTTGGAAGTTCTGGCCAGGGCAATCAGGCAGGAGAAGGAAATAAAGGGTATTCAATTAGGAAAAGAGGAAGTCAAATTGTCCCTGTTTGCAGATGACATGATTGTTTATCTAGAAAACCCCATTGTCTCAGCCCAAAATCTCCTTAAGCTGATAAGCAACTTCAGCAGTCTCAGGATACAAAATCAATGCACAAAAATCACAAGCATTCTTATACGCCAATAACAGACAAACAGAGAGCCAAATAATGAGTGAACTCCCATTCACAATTGCTTCAAAGAGAATAAAATACCTAGGAATCCAACTTACAAGGGACGTGAAGGACCTCTTCAAGGAGAACTACAAACCACTGCTCAAGGAAATAAAAGAGGATACAAAGAAATGGAAGAACATTCCATGCTCATGGGTAGGAAGAATCAGTATCGTGAAAATGGCCATACTGCCCAAGGTAATTTATAGATTCAATGTCATCCCCATCAAGCTACCAATGACTTTCTTCACAGAATTGGAAAAAACTATTTTAAAGTTCATATGGAACCAAAAAAGAGCCCACATTGCCAAGTCAATCCTAAGCCAAAAGAACAAAGCTGGAGGCATCATGCTACCTGACTTCAAACTATACTACAAGGCTACAGTAACCAAAACAGCATGGTACTGGTACCAAAACAGAGATAGAGATCAATGGAACAGAACAGAGCCCTCAGAAATAATGCCGCATATCTACAACTCTCTGATCTTTGACAAACCTGAGAAAAACAAACAATGGGGAAAGGATTCCCTATTTAATAAATGATGCTGGGAAAACTGGCTAGCCGTATGTAGAAAGCTGAAACTGGATCCCTTCCTTACACCTTATACAAAAATTAATTCAAGATGGATTAAAGACTTAAATGTTAGACGTAAAACCATAAAAACCCTAGAAGAAAATCTAGGCGTTACCATTCAGGACATAGGCATGGGCAAGGACTTCATGTCTAAAACACCAAAAGCAATGGCAACAAAAGCCAAAATTGACAAATGGGATCTAATTAAACTAAAAAGCTTCTGCACAGCAAAAGAAACTACCATCAGAGTGAACAGGCAACCTACAAAATGGGAGAAAATTTTTGCAACCCACTCATCTGACAAAGGGCTAATATCCAGAATCTACAATGAACTCAAGCAAATTTACAAGAAAAAAACAAACAACCCCATCAAAAAGTGGGCAAAGGATATGAACAGACACTTCTCAAAAGAAGACATTTATGCAGCCAAAAGACACATGAAAAAATGCTCACCATCACTGGCCATCAGAGAAATGCAAATCAAAACCACAATGAGATACCATCTCACACCAGTTAGAATGGCAATCATTAAAAAGTCAGGAAACAACAGGTGCTGGAGAGGATGTGGAGAAATAGGAACACTTTTACACTGTTGGTGGGACTGTAAACTAGTTCAACCATTGTGGAAGTCAGTGTGGCGATTCCCCAGGGATCTAGAACTAGAAATACCATTTGATCCAGCAATCCCATTACTGGGTATATACCCAAAGGACTATAAATCATGCTGCTATAAAGACACATGCACATGTATGTTTATTGTGGCACTATTCACAATAGCAAAGACTTGGAACCAACCCAAATGTCCAACAATGATAGACTGGATTAAGAAAATGTGGCAGATATACACCATGGAATACTATGCAGCCATAAAAAATGATGAGTTCATGTCCTTTGTAGGGACATGGATGAAATTGGAAATCATCATTCTCAGTAAACTATCGCAAGGACAAAAAACCAAACACCGCATGTTCTCACTCATAGATGGGAATTGAACAATGAGAACACATGGACACAGGAAGGGGAACATCACACTCTGGGGACTGTTGTGGGGTTGGGGGGAGGGGGGAGGCATAGCATTAGGAGATATACCTAATGCTAAATGATGAGTTAATGGGTGCAGCACACCAGCATGGCACATGTATACATATGTAACTAACCCGCACATTGTGCACATGTACCCTAAAACTTAAAGTATAATAATAATAATAATAATAATAATAATAATAATAATGAAAGATTTTAGGAATGAGAGTTTCCTCAAATGACTCCCTTCATAGGAGTTCCTGAGGCACTGAACCATTTTATCAGTAGACCCTGCCCCCCTGTATACCTAAATCGGCCACAGTTTGCTGGGCTGCAGTTCCCCGGCCAGCCAGAAATGGAAGGGTTTTTAATCTGTGGCTGGTGGTCTTACATCAAAAGAAGAAAACAGTCAAATTCTCCAGTTCATATCCAACCAAGGGTTTTTTCCTCCCCCAAAATGCAACCGCTGACAATTTATTAAGTCCAGGAAATCCTGGGTTTCATTTTGGTCCTCTTGCAGAGAGGAAAATGGGTGGTTCCCCTCAAAGCTTACCCAGGATTGTTCCTCCTAGTTGCTATCTCTGGTTCACTACTGACCCCAAACCCAAGCCAGTGAGCCTATTTGTCTTATGGAAAAGGTGGAGGAGCAGTGATACCACATTGGGGGTCCGGGTTGGGCACTGTGGAGGTGCTGGTGGAAGACCATGCCTGAGAAGGAGTGGTGAGGGCCCAGAAGGTCTGTGTTGAGCTGCAGGTGCACCTGAGGCAGCACAGTGGGTCTCCTCTGCTGACAACTCTTTCTGCCCTTTCCCCTCCAGTGTTGGGGCTCTCTCCAGGGTAATGTCCTCCTCTTCTTTCCTTCTCACTCTACATGGTTCACTCAGCCCAGGCAAGCTCAGCCATCCATAATTCCCCATAGGGCACTATTTGGGACAGGACAACTCTTTGTTGTGCAGGACAGTGCTATGAACTGAATAAAGTCCGCAGTAGTGCTCCTCAGTCATCGTGACAACCAAACCTCCCTGACACATTTCCAAATGCCCTCTGGGTCAGGGGGGCAGTGTAGTACTGCTCAGTAGAGGAGCAAAGGACTCCTGAGTTTACATTTCCAACCAAGATAGTTAGTATCCCTGCACTCCAGATCCTTGCACCCAAGGAAATTTCTCAAAGGCACCTTGTGTCCTGTCCCAGAGACATCTTTTTTTTTTTTTTTTTTTTTTTTTTAGACAGAGTTTTGCTGTCATCCAGGCTGGAGTGCAGTGGTACGATCTCAGTTCATTGCAATCTCTGACTCCCAGACTCAAGCGATTCTCAGCCTCCCAAGTAGCTGGGATTACAGGCATGTGGCACCACACCCAGCTAATTTTTGTATTTATAGTAGAGACAGAGTTTCACCGAGTTGGCCAGGTTGGTCTCAAACTCCTAACCTCAAGTGATCTGCGTACCTTGGCCTCTAAAAGTGCTGGGATTACAGGCATGAACTACCACAGCTGGCCTCCAGAGACATCTTAAACTCAACTTTTCAAACCTGATATCATTTTAATCTACTCTGACCAGTAAATGACCCTACCACTTCCCATTCTCAAACTGAGCCTAGGTGTCATTTCCTAAATCCTCCTCTGAACTCTTTTACCCAGTTAGTGTACCAGCACACAACCACAGGTGAAATAGCCCATCATATTTTCTAGATCTTTTAGGTTACAGCCACCCCAACCTAGCCCCTAATCCAGTCAGAGAGTGGGTTCTAATGCAAAGCTGATGAGATCAAGGTTAGTTCGCTGCTGCTCTAATCTTCAAAGCTTTGTCTACGGAACCATAGTAGAGGTAGTCTGCCTGAGCAGTGGAAGACCATGAGTTTGAGGTAAGATGAAGGAGAACGTAACTGTGTTTCTGCACCTTAGGCGCATGACTTTTAAGCAGGCTCTGAGCAGATAGAGGGCCAAGGTTCTTTTCTCTTGGGGTCTTTTCTCTGTGGGGTCTTTTCTCTCTGAGGCCTCCATCAAAGCCCTCGGGCTCTGTCATAATTGTTGACTTTATCTGTCTGCCTCCCTCAGTAAACTTGGGAGCAGGGGCTGTGTCCTCCTCTCTGGGCCCTCAGCCCAGTGCCTGGCACATGGCAGGCACCCTTTCATGAGTGAATGTTTGTGGAATGAAGTACTGAGTTGGAAATCACTCTGCAAGCTGGGTAGAGCTGGACCACTTTCCCTTACTCATAATACCATCTGGCATTTGCAACAGTAAACACTAACAGCCTCACTTTAATTCAGGACCTTGGGTGGAGGCTCCAAAGAGTGGAATGAGCACTAGAATGGGGAGTCTGAACATCTGAGTCCTTGTCGTGGCTCTGTTAACTAACAAAACCTATCACCTTGGGTATGGCACTTTCTTCAACTGAGGAGATGGAGAGTCAGCTGGGACAAGGGTTCTATAGAGGGGCTTAGAGTGGCTTAAAGGGAGTCCTTGAACAATCTGAAATTGTTGCCAAACTCAGTCTCTTTGCATTCTGTCGAAGGGACACTACTGATTCTTAAATAGTCAAGAACTGCCAATCTGGATAAGCTTCTGAATTACTGCAATTTACATACTGATGCATGTACTTTGAGGGAGAGGAGGTACAGGGGAGCAGCAGAGATGGCTGGCACTCATCCCACATACCCACTGCCATCCCAGGCCCATCTGAGAAGCACTTTGTCAAGGGAGCCTTGGCATGACCAGGGTGCTGACTCCGCCACTTCCTAAACTTTGGTGCCACAAAACAGGAAGCAAAAGGCAGGGTCTAAAGCAGAGGACACACATACAGAATGCTCCTAAAGGGACAGAGGCACGGGATTAGAAAGAAAAACTGCTGGAAAGTAAACCAGATAGGGACTTAGGGAGAGAAGGAGCCTTACAGACAAGGGGACTACCAAGGTTCAGAAGTCTGGCACAGGCAAGAGGAACACCAGGAGTTCTGGAGATGGTGGTCTATACTGGAAGGAAAGGAGAAGGAGCTGGCACTTCCTGAGCACGTACTAAGTGCTGAGTACTCTTGTGATCATAATAATCCTGCAAGGGAGGTTTATCAGTTCCAAGCAAGGGGAGTTAAATATAAGTTCTGCTGTTTTTAAGTGTCCTCTGGCCCCCCTTTCTGCTTTGCACTGTCTGCCCGGATAATTCAGACAGCCTTAGCATTTTCTTTGAAAAGGTCAATGACGAGAGGCTGGACTATGAATCTGCAGCTGGCAAAGGAGAGAGAAAGCTTCATTCAAACAGTTTGCAACCATCCTGGGCACCGGCCACGTGCCAGCCATGGGGCTAGGTTCTCGGAGGTACACAACTAGATCCCTGCTCTTCGCAACAGCCACTACCCGCCACCCCCACATCCTGAGGGGAACTGGGATCTGGGCAGCCAGGGCGCTTAAGTTGCGGGGCCGGTGCTGGGCTGTAAGTGGGAAGCCAGGACTGTGGCTGGGCTCAGAGGAGAGTGAGTCAGGGTTGGTAGGCTTCCCACCCTCCTTCCAGGCTTATCAGGCGCAAGTCACCTGGTCCGTGCACCACCAGGGAGAGGTTCTTGGGCTTGGCCGCCGCCGCCATGGAGCTTTTTTGCCTCTCGAGTGAGGCCTGGAACATGCAGGATGTATGGTTGCTCTGGTGGTGCTGCCCAGCTGAGGGTCCAAGACACTGGGTGGAAGGCGGGGCCTGGGAGAGGCAGCGCATGCAGGGGCGGGACAAGGCTTTTTACAATCCTCTTGCAAGACAGAAGAGTTCTCCAAGTCTCCACTCAACCCAGGAAGTTCAGCTGGCTTCACTTCTCAATCCTCCCTCTAAACAGGACATACCAACTGCTGTTGGGAATTGGGCGATGACTGATCTAGCTACTTCCTGCTGGATAGGGGCAAAGAAGGGGCCCTGCAGTTGTAGTGTCCTCCAGAGGGGAACTTTTTAGGCCAGTCAAAGGGCCAGTAGGTTGATCCAGGGGTCCTTCGTAGAAGTTGTGAATTGAGCTCATTTGGGGTTCCATTTGTAAGACCATCTGTAGCTTGATGGCCTCGATCCTGGAGGAAACAAATTTGACAAGGAGGTTAAAAATGCAGGGACTGGGCTGGGCGCAGTGTCTCATGCCTGAATCCCGGCACTTTGGGAGGCCAAGGCGGGCGGATCATGAGGTCAGGAGATCAAGACCATCCTGGCTAACACGGTGAAACCCCGTCTCTACTAAAAATACAAAAAATTAGCCGGGCATGGTGGCAGGTGCCTGTAGTACCAGCTACTTGGGAGGCTGAGGCAGGAGAATGGCATGAACCTGGGAGGTGGAGCTTGCAGTGAGCCAAGATCACACCACTGCACTCCAGCCTGGGTGACAGAGTGAGATTCCATCTCAAAAAAATTAATAAATAAAATAAAATACAGGGCCCGAAGGTGAGTAATAGCAAGATGGCTGTCACAGGACCTAGAAAGGGGAGAAGCCATGTCGCCCAACTCCAGAGGTTGGTCTAAGAGTTTGAGAGGCACTGTGTGATTTCAGAAGCCTTTTCCTGTAAATGCTCATACTATCCCTGACTGGTTAGTGTAAAAGCAACACTCTTCCCCTAAGAAGGTGCAAAGTCCTCCTTTCTCAGCAGCAAGGAGGTCTAGGCCTCAGCGGTTTTGGAGAATCACTGCTGCCAAAGAATCTATTTGGGATTGTAGAGTAAGGATAGATTTTGTTATTTCTCACAAACTGTCTGAGAAATCCTTTGAGAGTGTGTGGTAGTAGGATAGTGAAGTGGACAAACCTGCTATTCCAGTTCCTGTAGCAGTGACCATTCCTAACCCTATAAGGAAGGGTATTAGTTGTATGGCCCTGCACTGATGGACTTGAGCTTTGAGGGGCATTGATTGGGTTTGATTTCCTGGGGCAATGTCAATGTTGGGACTTAGGAAGACTAAGGTGCAGGTGCCTGTCCAGTTGGTGGAGAGGCAGATATAGGTTGAAGTTCTGCATAAGAAGAATATGCCTTGGCTGTAGACAGAACTGGTTGTGTATGTTAAAAAGCTGTGTGAGTTTGTTGTTTTCATTTTCCCATACTCCTAGAGTACTTGCCAAGGTAGCTCTTGTGAGTGGCTGGAAAGGGGTGTTAGGAGCAAATTGAGTGGCTCCCTGTGTTCCATTTTCCCATTGGAGAAAAAATCATTTTGTATCAACTACGAACCATTCAAGGGAGTGATTGAAAGAGGGGATGAGAAGGCAATAATTAATGGTGGGGGCATTGCTGCAGGGGGACCAGGGGTGAATGGTCATGCAGGGAGTATGTTTGCCATTACAAAACCCGGACTGTTTGTTAAGCAGGGAGGAGGTAATGATTTTTGGAGGCCCTGAGAAGCGGACAAGCCATCTGAATGGAGCTGTTTGGGTGACTCAGAAGTTACTATGATCAGTTGGGGCTTGAAGTTGTAGGGTGTAATTACACTGATGGGATAGTAGGTGCCCCAGGGGCAGGCCTGATAACAGGTTGTGCTGGAGGCATAAAGGGGCTTTGAAAGTTAAGACAGTATTCATGGTTACAGGGCCGTGTATGGACTTTTCATTGCTCATGTAATAGGTGAGGTTGGAAATGTAAAAGCTGGATTGCACGTCCTGTTAGGGTATTCTTGGTAAGCTTTGGGGAAACCCAAATCTAGGAATTATTTCATGAATTAGGACTTTAACCACTTCCCAAGGCTTCTCTGTCTTGGAGGGGAAGGCTTCTGTCCAATTTGTAAAGATATCAACACAGACCAAGTATTGAAATCCCCTTGACTTAGGCATATGGGTGAAGTCTAACTGCCAGTCCTCTCCAGGATCATGCCCTATTCTTTGTTCCCCCAGAGGGGCCTTATGATGGACCAAGGGATTATTCCTTTGGCACACCTCACAGGCTTTGACTACTTGTTGGATGGTCTGGAGGAGATTTGGCCCCATAAATAGGGATTTGGCCATTTGATGAGTGTTCTCAATACCCATATGAAAAGTTTGGTGAAGGTTCTTAAGTATTTTCCACTGGCTGGCTTTGGGCATGAGTACTTTTCCCTCTTCTGTCATTAACCACCCTAGGGGAGAAAACTATACCACCATGAAAGTCCCCATTCTGTTTTGGTTGGGGAACACTGGGGCTTAATCTCTTGGAGACGGTTGTTCCATACCAAGGGTCCTTCCATAGGTATTTCTAATGGGAGTTTCCACCTGGCAGCAATTTTGGCCTCAGTGTCTGCCTGATGGTTTCCTTCTGCCTTTTCTCCTTCACCTTTTTGACAGCTTTGACAGTGGAAGACTGCCACCTCCTTGGGTTTTTGCACTGGGTGCAATAACTTCATGATTTCCTTGGGGTATTTAATAGGGGTTCCCCCAGAGGTTAGGAACTCCCTTTCTTTCCATATTGCAGCATGGGCATGTAGAATAGATAAGCATACTTTCTATCTGTATACACATTTATTCTTTTTCTCTTTCCCAGTTCTAAGGCTCGGATAAGTGCCACCAGTTCTGCTAACTGGGTGCTGGTCCCTGGGGGAAGACGCTTACTTTCAAGTACTGTTACATCACTAACTATGGCATAACCTGTCCTTTGTATCCCATTCTCCACAAATGAACTTCCATTGGTATATAGATTAAAGTCAGGATTAGCTAAGGGGACTTCTAAAAGATCCTCTTGGGTGGCATAAGTCTGGGCTACAATTTATTGGCAGTCATGCTTGATTGGTTCCCCATCCCATGGGAGAAAAGTGGCAGGGTTGAGGGACGCACACCTGCATATTTGAAGCACTGGTCCCTCAAGGAGTAGCACCTGGTATCTAAGCAGGCGGTTGTCTGATAGCCACAAATTTCCTTTGGCACCTAGTATGCTGTTTACATCATGAGTAGTCCGGACAGTGAGATCCTTTCCTTGAATTATTTTGATAGCCTCTGATACCAAGATAGCAACCATCACAACTACCTGTAAACAGTGAGGCCAGCCTTTTGCTACTACCTCAATTTCCTTACTTAGGTATGCCACTGGTTGTGGGGTTGTCCCACGAGTCTGAATAAGGACTCCAAGAGCTATTCCCACTCTCTCTGTGATGTATAAAGAGAAGTTTTGTCCTGTGGGAAGGCTTAAGGCTGGAGCTTGTACTAGGGCCTGCTTTAAGATTTTGAAGGCTGTTTCTGCCTCTTGTTCCCATTCTACTAGATGAGTATTTGCCCTCTGAGTCTCCTTGATTAGCATATAGAGTGGCCTGGCCATCTCACTGTATCCGGGGATCCATAGTCAGCAACAGCCAGTGATTCCAAGGAACCCCCGCAACTGTTTTAATGTCTTAGGGCAAGGATAAGGCAGTATAGGCTGTGTTTGTTCCTTGCTGAGGGCCCTGGTTCCTCTGGCTAAGATTAGGCCTAGATATTTGACTTGTTGTAGGCAGAGCTGGGCTTTCAGTTTAGATGCCTTGCACCTTTGATTAGCTAGAAAGTTCAAGAGATCTAGAGTAGCCTGCTGGCATGAGGCTTCCAAACTGGTAGCCAAAAGTAAATCATCCAAATTCCATTCCAAGATGGCTGAATAGGAATAGCTCCGATCTGCAGCTCCCAGGGTGATTGATGCAGAAGACGGTGATTTCTGCATTTCCAACTGTTGGACCTAGTTCATCTCATTGGGAATGGTTGGACAGTGGGTGCAGCCCATGGAGGGCAAGCCGAAGTGGGGCAGAGCATCGCCTCACCCAGGAAGCACAAGAGGTCAGGGAATTTCCCTTTCCTAGCCAAAGAAAGCTGTGACAGACTGTACCTGGAAAATCAGGACACTGTCACCCAAATACTGTGCTTTTCCAACAATCTTAGCAAACGGCACACCAGGAGATCATATCCCGCACCTGGCTTGGTGGATCCCAAGCCCACACAGCTTTTCTCACTGCTAGCACAGCAGTCTGAGGCAGCAGCCTGGTAGGGGAGGGGCGTCCACCATTGCTGAGGCTTGAGTAGGTAAACAATGTGGCTGGGGAAGTTTGAACTGGGCAGAGCCCACTGCAGCTCTGCAAGGCCTGCTGCCTCTGTAGACCCCACCTCTGGGGGCAGGCATAGCTGAACAAAAGACAGCAGAAACTTCTGCAGACATAAATGTCCCTGTCTGACAGCTCTGAAGAGAGCAATGGCTCTCCTGGCATGGTTTCTGAGCTCTGAGAATGGACAGACTGCCTCCTCAAGTGGGTCCCTGTTCCCCGTGTAGCCTAACTGGGAGACACCTCCCAGTAGGGGCTGACAGACACCTCATACAGGTGAGTGCCCCTCTGGGATGAAGCTTCCAGAGGAAGGATCAGGCAGCAACATTTGCTCTTCTGCAATATTTGCTGTTCTGCAGCCTCTGCTGGTGATACCCAGGTAAACAGGGTCTGGAGATGACCTCCAGCAAACTCCAACAGACCTTCAGCTGAGGGACCTGACTCTTAGAAGGAAAACTAACAAACAGAAAGGAATAACATCAACATCAACAAAAAGGACATCCACACCAAAACCCCATCTGTAGGTCACCAGCCTCAAAGACCAAAGGTAGATAAAACCACGAAGATGGGGAGAAACCAGAGCAGAATAGTGGAATTTACTGGAAACCAGTGCACCTCTTCTCTTCCAGAGGATAGCAGCTTCTCACCAGCAATGGAACAAAGCTGGACGGAGAATGATTTTGATGAGCTGACAGAAGTAGGCTTCAGAAGGTTGGTAATAAACTTCTCTGAGCTAAAGGAGGATGTTCGAACCCTTCATAAAGAAGCTAAAAACCTTGAAAAAAGATTACATGAAAGGAAAACTAGAACAAACAGTGTAAAGAAGATGATAAACAACCTGATGGAGCTGAAAACCATGGCACGAGAACTACATGATGCATGCACAAGCTTCAATAGCTGATTTGATCAAGTGGAAGAAAGGATATCAGTGATTGAAGATCACATTAATGAAATAAAGTGAGAGGAGAAGTTTAGAGAAAAAAGAGTGAAAGGAAATGAACGAAGCCTCCAAAAAACAGGGACTACGTGAAAAGACCAAAATCTATGTTTGATTGGTATACCTGAAAGTGACAGGGAGAATGGAACCAAGTAGGAAAACACTCTTCAGGATATTATCCAGGAGAACTTCCCCAACCTAGCAAGGCAGGCCAACATTTAAATTCGAGAAATACAGAGAACAACACAAAGATAATCCTCGAGAACAGCAACCCCAATACACATACTTGTCAGATGCTCCAAGGTTGAAATGAAGGAAAAAAGTTAAGGGCAGCCAGAGATAAAGGTCTGGTTACCCACAAAGGGAAGCCCATCAGACTAACAGCAGATCTCTCGGCAGAAACTCTACAAGCCAGAAGAGAGTAGGGGCCAATATTCAACATTCTTCAAGAAAAGAATTCTTCAAGAAAAAAATTCTGAATTTTCAATCCAGAATTTCATATCCAGCCAAACTAATTTTCATAAGTGAAGGAGAAATAAAACCCTTTACAGACAAGCAAGTGCTCAGAGATTTTGTCACCACCAGGCCTGCCTTACAAGATCTCCTGAAGGAAGCACTAAACATAGAATGGAGCAACCGGTACCAGCCACTGCAAAAACATGCCAAGTTTTGGCTGGGCACAGTGGCTCACACCTGTAATCCCAGCATTTTGGGAGGCCAAGGTGGGTGAATCACAAGGTGAGGAAATCGAGACCATCCTTGCTAAGATGGTGAAACCCTGTCTCTACTAAAAATACAAAAAATTAGCCAGGCATGGTGGTGGGCACCTGTAGTCCCAGCTACTCAGGAGGCTGAGGCAGGAGAATGGCATGAACCCAGGAGGCAGAGCTTGCAGTGAGCCAAGATCATGCCACTCCACTCCAGCCTGGGCAAAAGAGTGAGACTCTGTCTCAAAAAAAAACAACAAAAAACAAAAAACAAACAAACAAAAAAACATGCCAAATTTTAAAGATCATCGATGCTAGGAAGAAACTGTATCAATTAATGGGCAAAATAACCAGCTAACATCATAATGACAGGATCAAATTCACACATAGCAATATTAACCTTAAATGTAAGTGGGATAAATTCCCCAATTAAAAGACACAGACTGACAAATAGGATAAAGAGTCAAGACCCATCAGTGTGCTGTATTCAGGAGACCCATCTCACATGCAGACACACATTGGCTCAAAATAAAGGGATGGAGGAAGATCTACCAAGCAAATGGAAAGCAAAGAAAAAGCAGGGGTTGCAATCCTAGTCTCTGATAAAACAGACTTTGAACCAACAAAGAACAAAAGAGACAAAGAAGGCCATTACATAATGGTAAAGGGATCAATTCAACAAGAAGAGCTAACTACCCTAAATATATATGCACCCAATACAGGAGCACCCAGATTCATAAAGCAAGTCCTTAGAGACCTACGAAGAGACTTAGACTCCCACACAATAATAATGGGAGATTTTAACACCCCACTGTCAATATTAGACAGATCAACAAGACAGAAGGTTAACAAGGATATCCAGGACTTGAACTCAGCTCTGCACCTAGAAGACCTAAGAGACATCTACAGAACTCTCCACCCCAAATCAACAGAATACACATTCTTCTCAGCACCACATCGCACTTCTTCAAAAATTGACCACATAGTTGGAAGCAAAGCACTCCTCAGCCAATGTAAAAGAACAGAAATCACAACAAACTGTCTCTCAGACCACAGTGCAAACAAAGTAGAACTCAGGATGAAGGAACTCACTCAAAACTGCAAAACTACATGAAAACTGAACAATCTGTTCCTGAATGACTACTGGGTAAACAAAGAAATTAAGGCAGAAATAAAGATGTTCCTTGAAACCAATGAGAACAAAGACACAACGTACCAGAATCTCTGGGACACACTTAAAGCAGTGTGTAGAGGGAAATTTATAGCACTAAATGCCCACAAGAGAAAGCAGGAAAGATCTAAAATCAACACCCTATCATCACAATTGAAAGAACTAGAGAAGCAAGAGCAAACACATTCAAAAGCTAGCAGAAGGCAAGAAATAACTAAGATCAGAGCAGAAGTGAAGGAGATAGAGACACAAAAAACCCTTAAAAAATTAATGAATCCAGGTGCTGGTTTTTTGAAAAGATCATCAAAATTGATAGGCTGCTAGCAAGACTAATAAAGAAGAAATGAGAAAAAATGAAATAGACACAATAAAAAATGATAAAGGGGATATCACCACTGATCCCACAGATACAAACTACCATCAGAGAATACTATAAAAAGCTCTATGCAAATAAACTAGAAAATCTAGAATAAATGGATAAATTCCTGGACACACACACTGTCCCAAGACTAAACCAGTAAGAAGTTGAATCTCTGAATAGAACAATGACAGGTTCTGAAATTAAGACAATAATTAATAACCTATGAATCAAAAAGAGTCCAGGACCAGACGGATTCACAGCCAAATTCTACCACAGGTACAAAGAGTAGCTGATACCATTCCTTCTGAAACTATTCCAAACAATAGAAAAAGAGGGAATCCTCCCTAACTCATTTTATGAGGCCAGCATTATCCTGATACCAAAGCCTGGCAGAGACACAACAAAAAAAGAGAATTTCAGACCAATATCCCTGATGAACATCGATGCAAAAATCCTCAATAAAATACAGGCAAACCAAATCCAGCAGCACATCAAAAAGCTTATCCACCATGATCAAGTTGGCTTCATCCCTGGGATGCAAGGCTGGTTCAACATATGCAAATCAATAAACATAATCCATCACATAAACAGAACCGACGACAAAAACCACATGACTATCTCAATAGACGTAGAAAAGGCCTTTACAAAATTCAACAGCCCTTCATGCTAAATCTCTAATAAACTAGGTATTGATGGAACATATCTCAAAATGATAAGAGCTATTTATGACTAACCCACAGCCAATATCATACTTAATGGGCAAAAACTGGAAGCATTCCCTTTGAAAAGTGGTACAAGAGAAGGATGCCCTCTTTCACGACTCCTATTCAACATAGTGTTGGAAGATGGGCCAGGGCAATCAGGCAAGAGAAAGCTCCGCCTCCTGGGTTCATGCCATTCAATTAGGAAAAGAGGAAGTCAAATTGTCCCTGTTTGCAGATGACATGGCTGTATATTTAGAAAACCCCATCGTCTCAGCCCAAAATCTCCTTAAGCTGATAAGCAACTTCAGCAAAGTCTCAGGATACAAAATCCATGTGCAAAAATCACAAGCATTCCTATACGGCAATGACAGACAAACAGAGCCAAATCATGTGTGAATTCTCATTAACAATTTCTACAAAGAGAAAAAAATACCTAGGAATCCAACTTACAAGGGATGTGAAGGACCTCTTCAAGGAGGACCACAAACCAATGCTCAACGAAATAAAAGCGGACACAAACAAATGGAAGAACATTCCATGCTCATGGATAGGAAGAATCAATATCATGAAAATGGCCATACTGCCCAAGGTAGTTTATAGATTCAATGCCATCCCCATCAAGCTACCAATGACTTTCTTCACAGAATTGGAAAAAACTACTTTAAAGTTCATATGGAAACAAAAAAAGAGCCTGTAGCCTGTATTGCCAAGAAAATCCTAACCAAAAAGAATGAAGTTGGAGGCATCATGCTACCTGACTTCAAACTATACTACAAGGCTACAGCAACAAAAACAGCATGGTACTGGTACCAAAACAGATATATAGACCAATAGAACAGAACAGTGGCCTCAGAAATAACACCACACATCTACAACCACCTGATCTTTGACAAACCTGACAAAAACAAGCAATGGGGAAAGGATTCTCTATTTAATAAACGTGCTGGGGAAACTGGCTAGCCATATGTAGGAAGCTGAAATGGGATCCCTTCCTTACACCTTATACAAAAATTAATTCAAGATGGACTAAAGACTTAAATGTTAGATCTAAAACCATAAAAACCCTAGAAGAAAACCTAGGCAATACCATTCATGATATAGGCATGGGCAAGGACTTCATGACTAAAACACCAAAAGCAATGTTAAGAAAAGCCAAAACAAATGGGATCTAATTAAACTAAAGAGCTTCTGCACAGCAAAAGAAATTATCATCAGAGTGAACAGGCAACCTACAGAATGGGAGAAAATTTTTGCAATCTACCCATCTGACAAAGGGCTAATATCCAGAATCTACAAAGAACTTAAACAAATGTACAAGACAAAAACAAACCACCCATCAAAAAGTGGGCAAAGGATATTAACAGTCACTTTTCAAAAGAAGACATTTATGTAGCCAACAGGCACATGGAAAAATGCTCATCATCACTGGTCATCAGAGAAATGCAAATGAAAACCACAATGAGATACCATTTCACACCAGTTAGAATGGTGATCATTAAAAAGTCAGGAAACAACAGATGCTGGAGAGGATGTGAAGAAATAGGAATGCTTTTACACTGTTGGTGGGAGTGTAAACTAGTTCATCCATTGTGGAAGACAGTGTGGTGGTGATTCTTCAAGGATCTAGAACTAGAAATACCATTTGACCCAGCCATCCCATTACTGGGTATATACCCAAAGGATTAAAAGTCATGCTACTATAAAGACACATGCACACGTATGTTTATTGTGGCACTATTCACAATAGCAAAAACTTGGAACCAACCCTAATGTCCACCAATGATAGCATGGATTAAGAAAATGTGACACATATACACCAGGGAATACTATGCAGCTATAAAAAAGGATGAGTCCATGTCCTTTGCAGGCACATGGATGAAGCTGGAAACCATCATTCTCAGCAAACTATCACAAGGACAGAAAACCAAACACTGCATGTTCTTACTCATGGTTGGGAATTGAACAATGAGAACACTTGGACACACGGTGGGGAACATCACACACGGGGGCCTGTCATGGGGTGGGGGGCAGGGGGAGGGATAGCATTAGGAGAAATACCTAATGTAAATGACGAGTTGATGGTTGCAGCAAACCAACATGGCACATGTAACCTATGTAACAAACCTGCATGTTGTGCACATGTACCCTAGAACTTAAAGTATAGTAATAATAAAAAATATAAATCATCCACATTCTGAAGGACCAGAGTTCCTGGACTTGGGAAGTGGCCTACATCTTGGGCCAGTGCCTGACCAAACAGATGAGGGCTATCCCTAAACCCTTGAGGCAAGACTGTCCACGTAAATTGGGATGTGTGGTCTGTGGGATCCTCAAAGGCAAAGAGAAACTGGGAGTCAGAGTGCAGGAGAATGCAGAAGAAGGTATCCTTGAGGTCCAGAATAGTGAACCATTCTGCTTCCTCTGGTATTTGAGAGAGCAGGGTATAGGAGTTGGCTACAACTGGATATAGAGAAATTACTGCCTCATTGATGAGACTAAGATCTTGCACTAGTCTCCACTGAACATTTGCTTTTTGTACTCCTAGAATTGGAGTGTTGCAGGGCCTATTGCATTTTCTTACTAAGCCTTGAGCTTTTAAATGTCTAACAATATACTGTAAACCTTTATGAGCTTTGGGCCTTAAGGGATATTGCCTTTGATAAGGAAAAGTGGTGGGGTCTTTTAGCCTGATTCGAACTGGCTGGGCATTTTTTGCCCTTCTGAATTGTCCTTCCAATGCCCAGACTTCAGAGTTGATTCCCTCCTCAAGTAGGAGACAACAAATGGGTAACTTGTCCCCCATATTCATATCATATCAGTAATAGCTCCAGCTTTGGCTAACACGTCCTTCCCTAATAAGAGTGTGGGACTTTCAGGCATAACAAGAAAGGCATGTGAAAAGAGCAAAGTCTCTGAATTACAACTGAGGAGGTGGGAGAAATACCTGGTTACAGGCTGTCCCAGGATTCCTCGGATGGTAATGGACTTTGAGGACAGTGGTCCGGGGCAGGAGAGTAACACTGAGAAGGCAGTGTCAGTGTCCAGGAGGAAATCAATTCACTGGCCCTCAATGGTTAAAGTTACCCGAGTCTCAGAGAAGGTGATGACATGAGCTGGCACTTGCCTTGGGCATCCTCAGTCCTGTTGTTGGATCATCTGGTTGGGGGTTCTGGCCTAGAGAACCTTTGTCCTCCAGGACATCTTCCAGTGATTGCCTTGGCATAGTGGACATGGGCGAGAGGGTGGCTTGTTTCTCATTGGACAATCTTTTTTGAAGTGTTCTTGCAAACCACACTGATAACAAGCCCTACCAGGTTATTGGCCTTCTCCATTTTCTCTCCTCTCTGAACCACCAAGGTTTGTTCATGTGAGGGCCATGAGTTAGGCTGTGGCCTTTCTCTGATCTCGCTTTTCCTTCTCAGCCTGTTCCTCTTGGTCCCTGTGATAGAACACCAAGGTTGCCAGCTTTAATAATGCCTCCAGATTTTGTTCAGGGCCCAGGGCTCACTTTTGGAGCTTTCTCGTGATATCTGCAGCTGGTTGCATAATAAACTTATCCTTTTGGATTAATTGACCCTCAAAGGAGTCAGAGGACAGGGGAGTATATTTTCTTAAGGCCTCCCATAGCCACTCGAGGAAGGTGGATGGATTTTCTTCCTTTCCCTGAGTTATGGTGGACATCATTGAATAATTCATGGGCTTTTTCCTAATTCTCTTCGTCATTCTAGAACACAGGTTAACAGATGTTTGCGACTCCAGTTCCCATGATCTGAGTCAAGGTCCCAGTGGGGATCAATACTGGTGATGGCTTGCTGACTGGTAGGGAATTTGTCCCTTTCTTTGGCTGTCATTCTATCATTTACTTGACTAAGATACCAAGTATCTCCAAACTCTCAGGCTGCAGCTAAACCTGCATTCTTTTCATTAAAGGCCAGGGTTTGATCTAACAATAGCATGACATCTCTCCAAGTGAGGTCGAAGTTTTGCCCTAGACCCTGTAGGACATCTATATACCTATCAGGATCATCTGAAAACTTCCCCAGATCTACCTTGATCTGCTTTAAATCAGAGAGGGAGAAGGGGACATGTACCCAGGTTGGGCCAAATTCCCCTCCCCCTACAGCTTGAAAAGAACATAACCAATAGCCCAGAGGTTTTTGTGGCCCCTTGGAGATTTCTTTGCTTGTTTCCTTCTGGGTGGGGGAGATTAGAGGAGGCTCATCATTAATAGGAAGAGGAGCTGTAGGGAGGCTAGGATATGGGGGTAAGCTGAGAGGTCCTCCTGTGGAATGTAGGTTGCAAGCTTTGCATAGTTGTGGATTGTCCTTCAGTGAAAAGAAAGCTTGGACATAAGGTATTTCACTCCATTTGCCTTCCATCTTACAGAAAAAGTCAAGCTGCAGGATAATACTGTAATTTATACTTTCCACAGGTGGCCATTTTTCCCTATCAGAGAGAGAATATTGGGACCAGGCCACAGTGCAGAAAAAAATAAGCCTCTTCTTTTTCAGGGCTTGCAGGTCAAATTCATCCCAATGGCTTAGGATGCATTTCAAGTGTGAGCCTGTTTGATGCCTGAGTGTTTCCCATCTAAAAGAAAAAACTGCCCATGATTTTGGTTCATTTTTTTATCCCTGACCAAAAACTTGCAACGGTCCCTGGACCCTGCTGTTCAGAATAGTTGTGCTCACTGAAGCAGCAGCAGAAACACTAGTTTTCCTCCTAGACGACAAAGAGGACTGAGGAAGGTCAGATTTAGTGGCCCTTACCAATGCATTCTCGAAAACCTGCACCCTTGCCTTTCCTCTTAGACCACAAAGAGGACCGAGAAAAATCGGATTCAGTGGCCCTTACACATTCTCGAAAACCTGTTAGTTAAGAGTCCTAAGCATTTTCTTCTGTTGGTATTGTGACCTTACCCTTGTCCTATAGAGAAGATATGCCTCAAAATGGAGTGGAGGGCCATACTTGAAGGAGGGAAGGGATCGCCAGGGTTGTAAGAGTGATGCCTTTTGTCCTCACTTCTCATCATATGAATAGGAAGGATATCCCCCCTCCCAATTTTGGAATCTATAATTTCTGAGGCTCTGCATATCTTAGCTTTGGGAATAGCCTTTGTTAGGCCTACTCGTCTGTAGAGGGATCCTAAAATTCCAGATAGTCCCTCCGAGATAGGGCTTCGGGCAATAATTATGTCTTTCTGATTGGTGAGCCTGGGTGCCTCAAAAAGGGAACAGAGTCCCGAAATTTATACAAAAATAATTCTTATAGGAGAAACTTGAAAAGCACCAGGGACAGGGAGTGGTTTTTAGAAGCAGGATTACCCTTGGAGAACAGAGGCAGGAGGAAGTTTGTCTGACAGGCATTAGGACCCAGGAGGCAAGGATCAGGATAGATAGGATAGATGGACAAGTCTCACTTGGGTGATGTAACTTTGAGAGTCTGCTCATGGCTGCAAGGTCAACCAACTTTTGTTAGGACCCCAGAGTGAATGGCTTTCCTCTCTGTTGACCCTTAGCTCAGCCCGGAAGTACAGGAGAAGCAGAAGCTGTTTCCAGGCAAACCAATGCTCCTAACTCCAAAGAGTTGGGGGGTTTTTAGAGAGCCCTTTCCTAGAAAGCCTGACACCCGTGTCTTATTCTGGGGGCCACACTAGTTCCTTCTAACTGGCTGACAAGTGCTTGGTGTTTAGCCCCCGAATTCTAAGGAAAAATAGGACAGAATAGCAAGTGAAATGGTACTCACTGCATGATGCTATCCTGGATGAGCCCCCAAAATATGTCCAGAGTTGGTTGACTGTGGGTTCATGGCCTTGCTGACTTCAAGAATGAAGCTGCAGACCTTTGCGGTGAGTGTTACAGCTCTTAAAGGTGACACCAACCCAAAGAATGAGCACTAGCAAGGCTTATTTTGAAGAGCAAAAGAACAAAGCCTCCACAGCATGGAAGGGGATCCGAGCAGCTTGCTGCTGCTGGCTGGGTGTGGCCAGCTTTTATTCCCTTATTTGTCCCCTCCTATGTTCCATTTCTATCCTATCAGAAACCCTTTTTTCAATCCTCCCTGTGATTGGCTACTTTGAGGATCCTGCTGATTGGTGCATTTTACAAAGCACTGATGGGGCATTTTACAATCCCCTTGCTAGCTACAGAATGCTGATTGGTGTTTTTTTACAGAGCACTGATTGGTGCATTTTACAATCCTCTTGTAAGATAGAAAAGTTCTTTAAGTCCCCATTTGGCCCAGGAAGTCCAGCTGGCTCCACCTCTCACCAGCACTTTGGGAGGCCAAGGCAGGCATATCACCTGAGGTCAGGATTTTGAGACCAGCCTTGCCAACGTGGCAAAGCCCTGTCTCTACTAAAAATACAAAAATTAGCCGGGCATGGTGGTGGGCACCTGTAATCCCAGCTACTTGGGAGGCTGAGGCATGAGAATCTCTTGAACCCAGAAGGCAGAGGTTGCAGTAAGCCAATATCATGCCACCGCACTCCAGCCTGGGTAACAGAGTGAGACTCTGTCTCAAAAAAACAGAAAACAAAAAAACTAAGTTCCCCACAAAGTTATTTCAGACTTTGCCCAGGAATGAACAAGGACAGCTTGGAGGTTAGAAGCAAGACGGACTTGGTTAGGTTGGATCTCTTTTACTGTCTCAGTTATGTTTTTGCAATGGCGTTTTCAATCCCTTCCTTTGGGTTTTATAACACCTTAATCTTAAGGTGTTGGCTAATGAAGATGGAGAAAGGGCAAAGACCACTCTAACTTCTTCCTGCTGACCAGGGGCATAGTCGGGGTAGGTGTTGACCCCAAGGTGAGAGGACTGGAATCATTTTGCTACTGTCTGAACATACTCACGCAGGATGGCTGAAAAATGTGTTAGTATTGTCATCTATAATTTTAGTATTGCATTTAAGGGAACAGCACACTACAAAGTAAATAATGAGTTCTAGCATAAGGCATGCAATTCCAACTTTTAAAAGTAAAGATTTGAAAACATTAATTTGGAGACTTGTAGTCCATGAATAATTTAGGATTTAGTCCAAACTGCAGAAAAAACTCAAGAACAACTAACAATGATTGTTTTTTATTTTTGGAGCATAATTTTTCTGTCTCCAGTCCCCATTTTTTAATTAAAAATAAATCACAGTAGGTCAACTTTACTTGCAAAATAAGTTTTAGTCTTATTATGCTCTGCCTGATTACTTGCATAAGTGCAGCAACAATAATTATTGTTCACATAGGCTTTTTAAATTGGCTTTGATGGAACTCTGTTCCATAAGGAATCTCAAACAAGACTTTTTTAAAGCCAGGCCAAGCCCATGGGTTTGTACCCTCAAATAACCATGAGTTGGGTCAATTCCTCTCCTCTTGAGGTCCCAAGATAACTTGGGGCTCCTGGGCCTGTTAGAAAGTGACATTCTTTACTCACCACAGATCAGGAACCCTGTACAGGGACTGTGTAGACAAGGCATGAGGCCAGTTTTCCCAAGGGGCTTTGTTTTCTCTGTTTTGTTTTGTTTTTGAGACAGGATCTTGCTCTGTCACCCAGACTGGAGTGCAGTGATGCAATCTCTGCTCACTGCAACTCCATCCCCCAGGCTCAAGCAATCCTCCCACCTCAGCCTCCCAAGTCGCTGGAACTACAGGCATGTGCCACCACACCCAGATAATTTTTGTATTTTAAGTAGAGACGGGGTTTCACCAAGTTGCCCAGGTTGGTCTTGAGCTCCTGAGCTCAAGCTATCTGCCTGCCCCGGTCTCCTAAAGTGCTGGGATTGCAGGCATGAGCCACCATGCCTGGCCTCAAGAGGCTTTTATTCCTTAAAGGCAAGCATACGATTCCAGTCAAAGCCTTGGTAAAATAACCAGTTTCTTCAATTTTGTCCTGTTGCAAATGAAAACATTCTTATTGCACTTATGGAAGTAACTATATTGCCATAAGAATACTCACAAATAGTTACCAAATCCTGGCAAAATCAGGAAGAGAGAATCAAATATGCTCCAAATTTTGTTTACAGATGTGTACTTTACTCAATATTAAAAGCTGTAAATAGCTCAAAAGAAAGGTTTTCTTGGCTCTGAAAAACAAAAAATGATCAGCAATGTTTTAAACAAAAAGTCAAAAAAAGTTGCCTCAGTCTTCTATTAGTTCAGCCCATGCAGTTAACTTCCATTCTGCTTAGTATTCATGAACATTTCAGCTCTCAATGAGAGTCCTGAAAGTTTTTCCTCTATTCTAATGTCACAATCTCCAAAGTTTTCAGAAACCTGCATTTAAGAGCACCTGTCAGAGTGTTATAGCTGATTATAAAACCATTTAAAGAGGATCAAAAGACAATAATTGTCTGTGGATGACAAAAAGTTTTAGGCCAGCCACAGTTAAAGACACAATTGACAAGGAAATTTGTTACTTCTGGGGAACACAATAATTTAACATAGCAATTATAATTATTAATGATAACATATACAAAGTCATATCAGAATTACAGGAGTTTCACATAATTTTGGAACATATATCAATAACACAAAAATCTTTTTCAAAAGAGAAAACCAAATTTCATGTTTGCATTAATGCCTCTTTAATGCTAAAGCTAGTTTTTAAATAAAATGTTATAAATTATCCAGTTTTAATTAGTTTGACCATAAGGTAAGGTTTTTATAAACTTTTTTAGAACACTTTACAATTTTCCATTAAACAGCAGATTAATTTTCTAAGAAAACCCTTTTGTTTAGACACAGGGGCCCAGATTCTGGCCCGGCATTAGTGTGCTTTTATGTTCAACATACAGAAAAAAATTAAATAATCCCCTTCAAAACTTAAGACCAACCCTTCACAAACACTTTTCAACTTGCTTAAACCTTCAGTTTTGTCCTGTTACTCTTTTAGGTTAAGACGATCTTTAAAGCCCTCTGAACTAGACAAAATTACATTCCCTTTGACAAAAGCCATATTCCCTTACCTTATTTAATCCTTTAGCTAAAGCACATTCTACTTTCCTTACACATCTTGCATGTAAAACAATTTCTCCAGCAGTCTCAATTACACGTTACAACGTTAACACTTAGCAACTTTTGTTTTTGATGAAAACCCTGATAAATAAGTGGTTTTAATTATGTACTAAGTGTGGAGCCTAGGACATCAGACAGAAATGCAGATAAGGTCTGCCTCCAGCATAGCTAGGGGGCATGGCTAATTCCACATGTCCCCAGACCTTAGCTAGAATTTCTAATGGCTCCAAAGTAGGTAAGTCTAACAATTTTCGAAAGTCAAAGAAACAGTTTATGACTTTAAAGCATTTAGCAAACCTAACATCTGACCTTATTTAGACCAAACATCTAAATTGTGAAGACATTTTTTATTTACCAGTGATCTTTAAAACTGTTTTTATTTCCAAAAGATCACTGAAATTATGTGAACAAACAGGCATTAAAAAGTTTCTATTTTTCTGACAAAATACTTGATTTAAGTGCTTATTTTTCTAAGCCAATTAGAGCTCTTTTATACAAACATCATGCATACAACACATATACATAGACAGACAGACAGAAGATCTGGTACTTGTAAGATTTTTCATTTGCTAGTTTCTTAATTGGATTACTGGCTTCAAGGTGACACCCTTGGAGGAACAGCACCAGGAAAGCATGGCATTTCTAGGGCCCAATAAGAAGGCATAGCTAGAAGGCAAAAACATATCCCCAAAATTAAGGGTGCCATTTGTATACTGCATCCTGGATCCCCCCAAAAGAGGGAAATACTATGGGAGAAGATAGTGCAATACTTCTACCATGCATGTCATTGCAAAGCAACCCAAAGCCAATTAGCCCATTTTGAAATCAGCCCATCCTCCATGGGAGTCTCCTCTCAGTTCGGGGTGGGGATATTTCCATACCTTCCAGGTGGCCAAGAGCATGCTTCTCTAATCCAAAAATCCAAGAGCCAAGTATCCCTCTTAACTGCTATTAGTTATCCCTTAAAGTATATTTCCTACCTGGTTATTACACACCAAGACTAAAAGCTCTCAAATAATGCAAAGTAATTTTTGATACCTGCCAAAGTAAAAAATGTCAGGTAATGTAATATAAAACAGAATACAGCCTTAGATTTTGAGAGGGATCTATTCTCTTTCAATTCCTAGGGTTCCATGAGAAAAACAGAGCTTTTTCCCAGAATGGGGTCTGTGGCACCTCCTCTGTTTTTCCCTAAGAGTCCCAGGCTGTTAGAATTTATCTTAGGTTCTTTCATGTGGGCATCAAGAGTGTTGAGAAGACAAAAGTGGAGAAAAACAATTCAGTCAACTGAGAAGAAAAAACCTTTTTTTTCTTTAGAAAAATAAGATCCAAGAAGAGAAAAAAAAGTAAAGGTATTTTAAATATATGTACAGTTTGGATATCTGCTTTTAATGAAGCTGATTTTAACCATACAGCTCTTTAAAAAATTATTTTTTAAATATCTAATTACTAGACTCTAGCCAGCACAGACAGTCAATGTTCCTTGCTTTTGAACTTCACCACAGGTAACTTCCCATGTGAAATTAATGTTTTAAATAAGGTTATAATGGATACACATGGTGATTCAAAGAGAGAGTAATCAGTTTCTTTCTTTTTTTTTTTTTTTAACAAGATTTAGAATCTTCCCAAGGTAGTTCAAAGGAAAACTCAAGAGGAGAAATCAAAAGTGGTCCATGGGGGAAAAAGAATCAATAAGGGTCAAAAAGTTACACAAATAAACCAGAAAAGACTCATTCCCTAAGCCAAGAATTGAACCTGGGATGCCATTGTCAAAAGACAAGGCCTTAGCTACTGAGTTACAGCATTGAGCAATTTCTATTGCTCTTCCTAGAAGAAGCCTAGAGCAGCCAATTTTGAGCTTGCAAAGGCTTTTAACTGCTCAAGATAACTTTTAGGGTTAACTATGACATGAATCCCCAAATTCCTGTCCTCTGGGTGGCAGAGACCAAGAGAAAGTATCCCCACATGGTCACAAGATTGGGCTCTTAAGGACACAAAACAAACAGATAAATTTCATCTAGTATTGGTTTCAGGGACACACAGCAAAGTTTGTAACTGAGCAGCCTGCCAGGATGGCTTGAAAAGTGGGCTTACAGGAGTCTTAAACCCACATTCTATTCTGTGATTCCCTTCTCTCCATTACAGAAGAACACAGAAAGACAAATTCTTAGCACAAAGTACACCAGATTTGCTACCACCTAAGACTAGTCTCACAAATGCTTTCTTCTACTAATCAAACCCTTGCAGAGGAGACAAACAGTGATGTTTATCATTTATACAAATACACACACACACATACACACACAGAGAGAGAGAGAGGAGAGAGAGAGACAGAGACCAGAAACTCGGCTGGTGAGAAATTCTTACCCTTTTTACCAGCATACCAGATTTCTGTGTTCCCTTTCTCTGAAGCTTCCAGAAGAATGGAGCAGCTTTTGATGAATCTGCTTACTGTGCCATAGCTGTGGGGGCCAAGCCCTGTTACAAAAGAAAATCATCCATTTCTGTTTTATGGAACCGTAGGCAAAAGCTTCTCACTTTTGCAAGATGCTGCCTGACGGGTTGCATGGGGAACTGAATTAATATTTTCCATCCCAGCCGAAGCAAAATACACATAACTAAACAGACACTAGTCACCTCGTTCAGCACCCAATATTGACCTGGCAAGGCTCAAATTTTCTCATGTTGGTTCCTATAGTCTTTGATCCACTCCAAGTGGAGAGGGATGACTTCCAACCGGTAATTAAATGGGTGGTCTCTGGGCAAGATGAAGAGTGGACAGTCACCCCATGTCAGGCCTGTTGAGCTTTCTTCAGGGCTCACCAGATGTAACCTGACTTACGGAGGGTTCTCTGAGTTAGGCCTGCTGGACTTCCATCAGCAATTCCCTCAGAGATCCCCTCAACATATACAAACACACACACAACAAAGACAAGACAGACAGAAGGCCTTTGAGACACAGATTCCAGACCCAGTCACAAACCAAGAGTATTCCTCCAAACAAGTCCCCCTATTCTCCATCCAATTAGATACCCCACCAGTAGACATCTCGTGATGGGGCTAAAAACAGACACACCATGATGGGGCTACAGACAGACATCCTGCAAGGCAACCAAGAGACAGCAGCACGTCCAGAGAGGCTGACAAATAGGAGAAGGAAGGGGCTGTTGGCAGCACCTAGAATACTCACCAAATCAGATACCCCATAATGGGGCTACAGCTACAGACACTACGTGATGGGCTACAGACAGACACCCAGTGATAGGGCTAGAGTCTCAGACATCCAGTGGTGGAGCTGGAGACAGACACCCCACCATGGGGCTACAGACAAACATTCCAGCATGGAGCTACAGTTATGGGATATCTCCCAGGACTATTTCTGTATTGCAATTAAATCCATGCCCATTGGATCAGCAGCACCCCACCAGTAGAGCCTAGAGTCCAAGAGAACTAGGTGGCCACTTGGGCTGGCCTCTGGATCTGTTGCTGGAGGGAGTCTACCAAACCACGGGCAGGCAGCCACAAGGGCAAGCCCCAGCAAGCCCCAAATTTGTAACTGCCCATGGGTTCACCTTGTCTGCTGCCTAGACAAAGTTAATTTATCCAGACAGGGGAACTGCAGTAAAGAAAGTAACTCATGCAGAGCCAGCTTTGCGGGAGACTGGAGTTTTATTATTACTCAAATCAGTCTCCCCAAGCATTCAAGCATACAGAGATCGGCGTTTTTAATGATAATTTGGAGGGTGGGGGAAAACCAGTGAGTCAGGAGTGCTGACTAGTTGGGTCGGAGGTGAGATCATAAGGGGTCAAAGCTGTCTTCTTGGGCTGAGTCAGTTCCTGGGTAGGGGCCCCAAAATCAGATGAGCCAGTTTATCAATCTGGGTGGTGCCAGCTGATCCATCAAGTGCAGGGTCTGCAAAATATCTAAAGCACTAACATTTCATTTTATAATAGTGATGTTATCCCCAGGAGCAATTTGGGGAGGGTCAGAATCCTGTAGTCTCCAGCTGCGTGACTCCTAAACCATAATTTCTACTCTTGTGGCTAATTCATTACTCCTACAAAGGCAGTCTAGTCCCCAGGCAAGAAGGAGGTTTGTTTTGGAGAAGGGCTGTTATCTCTGTTTTAATCTATAAATTAAAAACTAAGATCTCCCTGAAGTTGGTTCAGACCATGCCCAGGAATGAAGAAGGACAGCTTGGAGGTTAGAAGCAAGATTTTAGGTCAGATTTCTTTCACTGTCTCAGTTATGATTTTGCAGTGGTGGTTTCACAGACACACTGCTAATCCCCTTACCTAATCCATTAGACTTTGCCCCAGCCCTTGAAGTTGTCTCCCCTGGCCTGCCCAACACACAGGGCACAGCCTGTACTTTCACCAGTAATCACCCCTTCCCCAAATGCACTGGAATCCCACTGATGACAAGGCCTCATTTCTTAACCAGGATGTGGTAAAGTGTTCTATACAGTATAAAAGCCCCCAAAAAATTTGGTGATGAAGACGGATCAATCTCTGGAGCCCCAGTAATGACAAAAAAGGAAGTGTGTATGTGTGCGCACGCGTGCATGTGTAGGTGCGGGGTGGGGGAGCATTACAAGATGTACAAGGCAGTGGAATGGATTTTTGCAGTGGAATGACTTATGGAATCAGTCAGGTCCTTTGCTTTTAGATACCTCCCACAGCTCTTAGCTGTGCATGACTGGTTCTTTCAGTAGCTCCTGCTCTTAGCAGCTAAGAAGGTCTTGCTTGGAGAGATGAGGTACTTGCCTTCACTTACCCACTGAATTTAAAACCCAGTTTAACCCTCCTTGCTTTATGGGGTTTCCTCACAGTCTTCTAAGCATGTCCTTCCAATGGGTGAAGCTGAAGGAGAAGACCCCAGGAATGGCTTAAGAGCTGAGGGCCACTTTAAGGAGACACTCCTTGGACTTTAAATTATGAAAACAAAACACAGAGAACCAAAGCAAAAGCCACTGGAATAATGACATAATGGCCACACTGGAGTTGTATTTGTTTTCTCCTGAGCAATAACACTTTAAAGCTGTCTTGAAGGTTGTTGCCTGGTAGCAGAGATTTGGAGGAGGGGAAGGCAAATTTAGAAATATATTCTATGACTAGGGCTCTTTATAGAGAAAGTAAAAGGAAGAATTGATAAGGATTCTGTTTTTTCAGAGCAGAAGAACTTGATAAGGAGTCTTAAGAAGCTGACATTTTAAAAACAAAAAAAAAGTTGTTATTATAGTATTGTGACATTCTGCATAATTTCCTAATGAAGACCAGCATTCATAGTGCTGAGGAACAGACTTTTCCAGGCATTTTACTGAATAAGCTGTAAAATGCTGCCTTTGACTTTGCTGGTGGCCTGCTTGGCATAGCTTCTCTAGGTCTCTGCTTAACGTTCCCAGACAGCACAGCACTTCGAAACACTCTCCCCACTGAATACAACTAACAAGTTCTTGATAAATCTCTACTATCAAAACTTATTTGGATTCTTACCTGGCAGGGGAGATGCCATGATCATGAAGGTGGTTTTCCCAGGCTGAGGCTCATCCATTGCACTCCATAGGTGTGCTTACCACTGTGATTTCCCCAAATGCGGGAAACTCAACAGCATAATTTGTGGTAGTGAGGAACTGCATTCGTGCTTTCCCCTGGGGAAAAAAAAAAGGAAAAAAAAACTCATTTGGAGTTTAAAATATAATTAATTAAAAATTAATCCTGTGGGGTCACGTATCTAAGGGAGACTTTAACCCATCAGATACTGGATCTGGATAACCTGCAATAACCCAGTGTCTGTGATGGGTTAGTCTCCCCTTAAATTATCACAGATACTGGGTTATTGCAGGTCTGGATTACATAGTGTACTAACAAGAAAAATCAGTGTGCCATAGGTCCTTGGTGTTCCAAAAGTCAGAACAGTTATAAAATCCTGACTATGGCTTTCTCCATTGCTTCATCAGCTATTCAGTTACTCACACCTAGCTATTCACAACAAAAGAAAGAAGCAACAAAAAACCAAAAACCATAAAGTTTCTTGAAGAACTTGGAAATAAGGTTGACAACGAACATTAAACTAGTAAAATCCATATGCAATAAAAGAGATTAATAGAGGCCACCCTGAGGAACCATTAACATACTTTCCATTAACAAACCTGAAGAAAGCACTAAGAAGAGTTAGGAAAAGAGAGTCAGAGAGCAGGAATTTTAGTCTAGAACTACCCAAGGAGAGAGGCACTTTGGTAGTGGTGGCAGTGCTGGTGGCACAGGAAGAATGGAAGCAAGGAGACCAGTTGAGGTTCCTGCTATATGCCAGCCAAGAATGGTGATTTGGACTTGGATAAATGGTGGAAGTGGAGGTGGAGTGAAGTAGACAGATACAAGATTTATTTTGGATGTAGGATCCATGGAACTTGGTAAGGTGTTAGCTTGTGGGAGTTGAGGAGAAGATAGCAGAAAGGCTGACTCCCAGATTTCTGGCATGACTAACTGGATGGATGAAGATACTCTCAGCTGAGATTTGGGGAGGACCCGATTTGGGGAAAATATCAAACGTGTAATTTTGGGTAGGCCAAGTTTGAGATGGTGTCTTTGTCTACTTTGTGTTGCTATAAAGGAATATCTGAGGCTGGGTGACTTATAAAGGAAAGGCTTATAGGGCTCATGGTTCTGCAGGCTGCACAATAAGCATGGTGGCAGCATCTGCTCAGCTTCTGGTGAGGGGCTGCAGGTTGCCTCCACTATTGGCAGAAGGGAAGAGGGAAGGAGAGCGAGCACGCGCTGAGATCACATGGTGAGAGAGGAAGCAAGAGAGAGCAGGGAGGTGCTAGGCTCTTTTTACCAACCAGCTTTCATGGGAACTAACAACCAGCATAACAGAGTGAGAACTCACTCACTTTACCTGCGCCCACCAACCCACAAAGGGAGGGCATTAATCTATTCATGAGAGGTCATCCTCTCTGACCCAAACATTTCCCATTAGGCCCCACTTCCAACATTGGGATCAAATTTCAACATGAGGCTTGGGGAGACAAACATCCAAACTATAACATTCTGCCCCTTCCCCCCAAACTCATGTCCTTCTCACATGCAAAATACAGTCTACCCCAGTAGTCCCAAAAGCATTAACTTGTTCCAACATCAACTTAAAAATATGAAGTCCAGAGTCTCATCTGAGACTCAGGGCAAATTCCTTCCAGCTATGAGCCTGTAAAATCAAAAACAAGTTATTTAGTTCCCAGATGCAATGGTTGTACAGGCATTAGGTAAAGATTTTCATTCCCCAAAGGAGAAACTGGCCAAAAGAAAGGTAACAGGCCCATGCAAGTCTGAAACCCAGTAGGGCAGACAGGCAGACATTAAATCTTAAAGCTCCAAAATAAACTTTGACTCCATGTCCTGCATTCTGGGGACACTGGTTTGAGGGATGGGCTCCCAGTGCCTCAGACAGCCCTATCCCTATGGCTTTGCTGAGCGCTGCCTACATGGCTGCTCTTATGGTTTGGAGTGGAGTGCCTGAGGCTTTCACAGACTGAGGTGCATGCTGCTGGTGACTCCATAATGCTAGGGTGGAGGGCAGCAGCCCTTCTTCCACAGCTACTAGGCACTGCCCTAGTACAGTTTCTCTGCAGTGGCTTGCCCCTGTGGCAGGCTTCTGCCTGGGCACTCAGGCTTTCCAATACATCCTCTGAAATCTAGGTGGAAGCTGCCCAGCCTCTACCACTCTTACATTCTGGGAGCCTGCAGACAACACCATGTGGAAGCTGCCACAACTTAAGGCTTACGCTCTCTGGAACAGCAGCCTGAGTGGTACCTGGGGCTGTTTGTGCTCAGGTTAGAGCTAGAGCAATTGGGATGCTCCCCACATCCTGTGGTGGCACAGAACAAAAGCACCCCAGGCCTGTCCCCTGAAACCATTCTGTCCTCATAGGCCTCTGAGCCTGTGATGGGAGGGATGACCTCAAAGATTTCTGAAATGTCTTTGAGGTCTTTTCCCCATTGTTCTATTAGCACCTGGTTCCCTTTTATCCATGGTAATCTCTCTAGCAAGTGGTTGCTCCATATCGCCCTTGGATTCCTCACCTGAAAACATTCTTTCCTTCTCTACCACATGACCAAGTTATAAATATTCCAAATTGTTTTGCTCTTTCTATTTTATTTAGAAATTCCACCTTTAGATCATTATTTTGCTGCTGTATCTGATCATAAGCTGTTAAAAGTAGCCATGCCACTTCTTGAATGCGTTGCTGTTTAGAAATTTCTTCCACCAGATACCCCAGGTCATCACTCTTAAGTTTGGCCTTCCACAAAGCCCTAGGCCATGAACACAATGCAGCCAAGTTCTTTGCTACGGCATAATATGGGTGACATTTGCTCCAGTTCCCAATAAGTTCCTCATTTCCATCTGAGACTTTGTCAGCATGGCCTTTACTGTCTATATGTCTATAAGCATTTTGGTCACAACCATTTAACCAATATGTAAGAAGTTCCTAAATTTTTCTAGTCTTTTTGTCTTCTTCTCAGCCCTCCAAACTCTTCCAACCTCTGCCCATTAACTAGTCCAAAGCCATTTCCACATTTTTAAGTATTTTTTTTTTTTTTGACACAGAGTCTCACTCTGTTGCCCAGGCTGGAGTGCAGTGGTGTGATCTCGGCTCACTGCAAGCTCCATCTCCCAGGTTCACGCCATCCTCCTGCCTCAGCCTCCCAAGTACCTGGGACTATAGGCACCCACCACCAAACCCGGCTAATTTTTTGTATTTTTTTTAGTAGAGACGGGGTTTCACCATGTTGGCCAGGATGGTCTCGATCTCCTGACCTCGTAATCCACCCGCCTCAGCCTCCCAAAGTGTTGGGATTACAGGTGTGAGCTACCGTGCCCAGCCAAAAAGTAGTGTTTTAAGAAAAAAGTGCTCAAGTGTTTAAGACTGATAAGAAGTCAAGAGGGAAACCAAAGAATATCTAGTGGATTCAGCAACAAGGAGGTAATTGGTCATCATGCAAACGGAGTTTTGGTGAAAAGATGGGAGTGGGAGCCATATTGGGACGGGATCATTCATCCATTTATTCAGCAACTATGTAATAAGTGTCTGTGACATGCTGGTACACGGTGCTGGGGATACAATGAATCTGACAGACACAATCCCCACTTAGGGGAGGAGAAGCCATTAAGCAGATAATCATAGAAGTAATGACTCAAACACAATTATGGTAAGGGCTATGAAGGAAAAGAAAAGAAAACCATGAAAGTGTGTAGCAGAGGAACCTAGTCTAGCTTGAAAGCAAGGGAAGTTTGCCCTGAGGGAGTGATAGATAAAGCTGTACTTGAGAGACTTGAGTTGTGACAGCAGTGAGGCTAGGGAGGGAGATTGTGTGTTCCAGGCAGAAGGAACCACAAACGTGGAGTCCAAGAGGGCGAGACCATCATGAAAAGTCAGCAGTGTGGCAGAATCACAGTGAACAAGGAGAGAGTGGCACAAAACAACAAAAACAACAACAGCAACTAGAGCCTAGCAAGTGACCCAACCCAGGGGTTCACATAGATCCTCCAGTGTTTTACACTGTAGGAAATGCCAGGGTGCAAGAAGAAAGGTAGTGAGAAGGCCTATGGCTGAAGACCTTAGGGCAAAAGCTGGAAAATTATACTTCTCTAGGGTTAGGATTTCACTCTGATGTACAAAGTCTATTTTTTTTCAAGCCAAAAATAATCCAATAGCACTGACTTTTATTCATTCATGTGAAGTCACCTGAAATGATATCCGTTGCATTTAAATGCTCATTAATAATATAAATGACTTAACAAATCCATTTCAATGGATATTCAATATTCCACTTAGATAAGTCACACAGCCTCATGACAACGCATATAACATATATAAACAGACAGAGATAAACACCCCCTCCCCCTCAGTTGATTTATTCAGCATGTTAGAGCAGTGAAGAATGGTTTCAGTCTTATAACCAAGTTAGAGTGAAGACACTGGCCACATAATACACATGCTGCATTTGTAAAACAATTCTGAGTCTTGGGCAAATGTACTCTTGAAATCTTACAGTTTTTAAAAGCAGTTATTGTCCAAAGCTTGGAGAACTTAAGTCTTCTCAAATGAGCATGTGAATGAATGGAGGGAGGTAAACAAAAATAAAATTTAAAAAGATGAGGTCTGATATGGGAGCAGCTGGATAAGAAACTAAAAAGGGGCCGGGCACGGTGGCTCACACCTAGAATCCCAGCACTTTGGGAGGCCAAGACAGGCAGATCGCTTGAGCTCAGGAGTTCGAGACCAGCCTGGGCAACATGGTGAAACCCTGTCTCCACAAAAAATTAAAAAAAAAAAAATACAAAAATTAGTCAGGTGTGGTGGCACACGCCTGTAATCCCAGCTACTTGGGTGGCTGATGCAGGAGAATTGCTTGAATCCAGGGGGGCAGAGGCTGCAGTAAGTGGAGAAAGAGAGAGAGAGAGAGAGAGAGAGAGGAGAGAGAGAGAGAGAGAGCGAGAGGAAGGGAGGAAGGTAAAAAGGAATAGCAATTTAAAGTTTATTTCAGCTATAATGCAGGTTATTCTGACTTTGAGGTAGCATCACATGGCATACTTCTGAGTCAATTCTCGAGATATTCTGTTGTGTTTATCTCTGTCTGTTTATATAAAAAGGCACAGTGAGACATTTCTGAACATGGGAGGATCTCAAGAAATATTGTTTCCATGAGCATTCCTTGAAGAAAGTACTAGAAGATGAACTTACACCAACCAATAAATAAATGGGAAAACTATGGCAAAAAGAGAGGTCATCAAGAGCAGGATAGGGAGAAGATGAGAAAATATTCTAATTTCATTATTTAGTCATATTAGGGGATTGATAGATAATGCCTAAAAGAGGAAGATTAAGTATATAAATTATAAAGACAATCACTAAAACAAAAATATAACCTTTCCAGATTTTCAGAAAAAATAAAACCAAATACCACAACATCAGAGTTTTTAAAGGATCTATGAAATATAGAAGGCATCATATAAAATTATATAAATAATTAAGACCAAGTATGTCAATTTAATAAATATAAATGTGCTAAGCTAATGTATTAAAATAAAAGAAATTTCAGTCACGTGTGGTGACTCACACCTGTAATCCTAGCACTTTGGGAGGCTTAGGCAGGAGGATCGCTTGAGCCCAGGAGTTCATGAACAGCCTGGGCAACATAGTGAGATCCCATCACTATTTTTTATTTAAAAAATAATAAAAATTGAAAGTCAAATAAAATAAAATAAATTTGGATTAAATCATAAAGGAAAATCCAACTCTATGCTGTATACAAGGGATCCAAAAAAAAGTAAATACAAAATCTTTACAAATGTAAATTAGAAGAAAGCAATGGTTATAATTTTTTTGTTTTTTGTTTTTGTTTTTTTTCTCTTTCTTCCTTTTTATTTTCTATTACAGTTTAAATTCTAGAGTACATGTGCACAACATGCAGGTTTGTTACATAGGTATACATGTGCCATGTTTGTTTGCTGCACCCATCAACTCGTCATTTACATTAGGTATTTTTCCTAATGCTATCCCTCCCCCAGGCCCCCACCCCCTGACAGGCCCTGGTGTGTGATGTTCCCCGCCCTGTGTCCATGTGTTCTCATTGTTCAACTCCCACCTATGAGTGAGAACATGCGGTGTTTGGTTTTCTGTCCTTGTGATAGTTTGCTGAGAATGATGGTTTCCAGCTTCATCCATGTCCCTGCAAAGGACACAAACTCATCCTTTTTTATGGCTGCATAGTATCCCATAGTGTATATGTGCCACATTTTCTTAATCCAGTCTATCATTGATGGACATTTGGGTTGGTTCCAAGTCTTTGCTATTGTGAATAGTGCCACAGTAAACATAAGTGCACATGTGTCTTTATAGTAGCATGATTTATAATCCTTTGGGTATATACCCAGTAATGGGATCACTGGGTCAAATGGTATTTCTAGTTCTAGATCCTTGAGGAATCGCCACACTCTCTTCCACAATGGTTGAACTAATTTACACTCCCACCAACAGCGTAAAAGTGTTCCTATTTTTCCACATCCTCTCCAGCATCTGTTGTTTCCTGACTTTTTTAATGATCGCCATTCTAACTGGTCAGAGATGGTATCTCACTGTGGTTTTGATTTGCATTTCTCTCATGACCAGTGATGATGAGCATTTTTTCGTGTGTCTGTTGGCTGCATAAATGTCTTCTGAAGTGTTTGTTCATATCCTTTGGCCACTTTTTGATGGGGTTGTTTTTGTATTGTACATTTGTTTAAGTTCTTTGTAGATTCTGGATATTAGCCCTTTGTCAGATGGGTAGATTGCAAAAATTTTCTCCCATTCTGTAGGTTGCCTGTTCACTCTGATGATAGTTTCTTTTGCCATGCAGAAGAAGCTCTTTAGTTTAATTAGATCCCATCTGTCTATTTTGGCTTTTGTTGACATTGCTTTTGTTGTTTTAGTCATGAAGTCTTTGCCCATGGCTATGTCCTGAATGGTATTGCCTAGGTTTTCTTCTATGGTTTTTATGGTTTTAGGTCTTACATTTAAGTATTTAATCCACTTTCAGTTAATTTTTTTATAAGGTGTAAGGAAGGGATCCTGTTTCAGCGTTCTACATATGGCTAGCCAGTTTTCCCAGCACGTTTATTAAATAGGGAATCCTTTCCACATTGTTTGTTTTTGTCAGGTTTGTCAAAGATCAGATGGTTGTAGATGTGTGGTGTTATTTCTGAGGCCACTGTTCTGTTCCATTTATCTATATATCTGTTTTGGTACCAGTACCATGCTGTTTTGGTTACTGTAGCCTTGTAGTATAGTTTGAAGTCAGGTAGTGTGATGCCTCCAGCTTTGTTCTTTTGGCTTAGGATTATCTTGGCTATGCGGGCTCTTTTTAGGTTCCATATGAACTTTAAAGTAGTTTTCTCCAATTCTGTGAAGAAAGTCATTGGTAACTTGATGGGGATGGCATTGAATCTATAAATTACCCTGGGCAGTATGGCCATTTTCACGATGTTGATTCTTCCTATCCATGAGCATGGAATGTTCTTCCATTTGTTTGTGTCCTCTTTTATTTCATTGAGCAGTGGTTTGTAGTTCTCCTTGAAGAGGTCCTTCACATCCCCTGTGAAGTTGGATTCCTAGGTATTTTATTCTCTTTGTGGCAATTGTGAATGGGAGTTCACTCATGATTTGGCTCTCTGTTTGTCTGTTATTGCCGTATAGGAATGCTTGTGATTTTTGCACATTGATTTTGTATCCTGAGACTTTGCTGAAGTTGCTTATCAGCCTAAGGAGATTTTGGGCTGAGATGATGGGATTTTCTAAATACACAATCATGTCATCTGCAAACAGGGACAATTTAACTTCCTCTTTTCCTAATTGAATACCCTTTATTTCTTTCTCTTGCCCGATTGCCCTGGCCCATCTTCCAACACTATGTTGAATAGGAGTGGTGAAAGAGGGCATACTTGTCTTGTGCCGGTTTTCAAAGGGAATGCTTCCAGTGTTTGCCCATTCAGTATGATATTGGCTATGGTTTTGTCATAACTAGTTGTTATTATTTTGAGATACATTCCATCAATACCTAGTTTATTGAGAGTTTTCAGCATGAAGCGCTGTTGAATTTTGTCAAAAGCCTTTTCTGCATCGATTGAGATAATCATGTGGTTTTTGTCATCAGTTCTGTTTATGTGATGGATTATGTTTGTTGATTTGCATATGTTGAACCAGCCTTTCATTGCAGGGATGAAGCCGAGTTGATTGTGGTGTATAAGCTTTTTGAGGTGCTGCTGGATTCGGTTTGACTATACTAATTTTGCATCGATCTTCATCAGGGATATTGGTCTAAATTTCTCTTTTTTTGTTGTGTCTCTGCCAGGCTTTGGTATCAGGATGATGCTGGCCTCATAAAATTAGGGAGGATTCCCTCTTTTTCTATTGTTTGAAATAGTTTCAGAAGGAATGGTACCAGCTCCTTTTTATACCTCTGGTACAATTTGGCTGTGAATTTGTCTGGTCCTGGACTTTTTTTTGGTTGATAGGCTATTAATTATTGCCTCAATTTCAGAACATATTATTGTTCTATTCAGAGATTCATCTTCTTCCTGGTTTAGTCTTGGGAGGGTGTGTGTGTCCAGGGAATTATCCATTTCTTCTAGATTTTCTAGTTTATTTCCATAGAAGTGTTTATAGTATTCTCTGGTGGTAGTTTGTATTTCTGTGGGATCTGTGGTGATATCCCCTTTATCGTTTTTTATTGCATTTATTTGATTCTTCTCTCTTTCTTTTATTAGTCTTGCTAGCAATCTATCAATTTTATTGATCTTTTCAAAAAACCAGCTCCTGGATTCACTGTTTTTTTGAAGGGTTTGTTGTATCTCTATCTCCTTCAGTTCTGCTTTGATCTTAGTTATTTCTTGCCGTATGCTAGCTTTTGAATATGTTTTCTGTTGCTTCTCTAGTTCTTTCAATTGTCATGATAGGGTGTTGATTTTAGATCTTTCCTGCTTTCTCTTGTGGGCATTTAGTGCTATAAATTTCCTTCTACACACTGCTTTAAATGTGTCCCGGAGATTCTGGTACGTTGTGTCTTTGTTCTCATTGGTTTCAAAGAACATCTTTATTTCTGCCTTCATTTCGTTATTTACCCAGTATTCATTCAGGAACAGGTTGTTCAGTTTCCATGTATTTGTGTGGTTTTGAGTGAGTTTCTTAATCCTGATTTCTAGTTTGTTTGCACTGTGGTCTGAGAGACAGTTTGTTGTGATTTCTGTTCTTTTACATTTGCTGAGGAGTGTTTTACTTCCAACTATGTGGTCAATTTTGGAAGAAGTGCGATGTGGTGCTGAGAAGAATGTGTATAATGTTGATTTGGGGTGGAGAGTTCTGTAGATGTCTATTAGGTCCACTAGGTGCAGAGGTGAGTTCAAGTCCTGGATATCCTTGTTAGCCTTCTGTCTCATTGATCTGTCTAATATTGACAGTGGGGTGTTATAATCTCCCATTATTGTGTGAGAGTCTAAGTCTCTTTGTAGGTCTCTAAGGATTTGCTTTATGAATCTGGGTGCCCCTGTATTGGGTGCATATATATTTAGGATAGTTAGCTCTTCTTGTTGAATTGATCCCTTTACCATTATGTAATGGCCTTCTTTGTCTCTTTTGATCTTTGTTGGTTCAAAGTCTGTTTTATCAGAGACTAGGAATACAACCCCTGCTTTTCTTTTTGCTTTCCATTTGCTTGGTAGATCTTCCTCCATCCCTTTATTTTGAGCCAATGTGTGTCTCTGCACGTGAGATGGGTCTCCTGAATACAGTACACTGATGGGTCTTGACTCATTATCCTATTTGTCAGTATCTGTCTTTTAATTGGGGTATTTATCCCATTTACATTTAAGGTTAAATTGTTATGTGTGAATTTGATCCTGTCATTATGATGTTAGCTGGTTATTTTGCCCATTAATTGATGCAGTTTCTTCCTAGCATCAATGGTCTTTAAAATTTGGCATATTTTGCAGTGGCTGGTACTGGTTGTTGCTTTCCATGTTTAGTGTTTCCTTCAGGAGCTCTTGTAAGGCAGGCCTGGGGGTGACAAAAGCATTTGCTTGTCTGTAAAGGATTTTATTTCTCCTTCACTTAGGAAGCTTAGTTTGGCTGGATATGAAATTCTGGGTTGAAAATTCTTTCCTTAAAGAATGTTGAATATTGTCCCCCACTCTCTTCTGGCTTGTAGAGTTTCTGCCAAGAGATCTGCTGTTAGTCTGATGGGCTTCCCTTTGTGGGTTACCCAACCTTTCTCTCTGACTGCCCTTAACATTTTTTCCTTCATTTCAACCTTGGAGCGTCTGACAATTGTGTGTCTTGGGATTGCTCTTCTCAAGGAGTATCTTTGTGGTGTTCTATGTATTTCCTGAATTTGAATGTTGGCCTGCCTTGCTAGGTTGGGGAAGTTCTCCCAGATAATATCCTGAAAAGTGTTCCCTAACTTGGTTCCATTCTCTCTGTCACTTTCAGGTACACCAATCAAATGTAGATTTGGTCTTTTCACATAGTCCCATATTTCTTGGAGGCTTTGTTCATTTCTTTTCACTGTTTTTTCTCTAATTTTGTCTTCTCGCTTTATTTCATTAATTTGATCTTCAATCACTGATATCCTTTCTTCCACTTGATCGAATCAGCTATTGAATCTTGTGCATGCATCACAAAGTTCTCGTGCTATGGTTTTCAGCTCCATCAGGTCATTTCAGGTCTTCTCTACACTGTTTATTCTAGTTAGCCATTTGTCTAACCTTTTTTCAAGGTTTTTAGCTTCCTTGCGATGGGTTAGAACATACTCCTTTAGCTGGAGAAGTTTGTTATTACTGACCTTCTGAAGCCTACTTCTGTCAACTCGTCAAACTTATTCTCTGTCCAGTTTTGTTCCATTGCTGGCGAGGAGCTGCAGTACTTTGGAGGAGAAGAGGCACTCTGGTTTTTGGAATATTCCACTTTTCTGCTCTGGTTTCTCCCCATCTTTGTGGTTTTATCTAACTTTGGTCTTTGACGTTGGTGACCTACAGATGGGGATTTGGTGTGGATGTCCTTTTTGTTGATGTTGGTGCTATTCCTTTCTGTTTGTTAGTTTTGCTTCTCACAGGCCTCTCAGCTGCAGGTCTGTTGGAGTTTGCTGGAGGTCCACTCCAGACACTGTTTGCCTGGGTATCACCAGCGGAGGCTGCAGAACAGTGAATATTGCAGAACAGCTATTGCTGCCTGATCCTTCCTCTGGAAGCTTTGTCCCAGAGGGGTACCCACCTGTATGAGGTGTTAGTTGGCCCCTACTGGAGGTGCCTCCCAGTCCGGCTACACAGGGATCAGGGACCCACTTGAGGAGGCAGTCTGTCTATTCTCAGAGCTCGAACACTGTGCTGGGAGAACCACTGCTCTCTTCAGAGCTGTCAGACAGGGACATTTAAGTCTGCAGAAGTTGTCTGCTGCCTTTTGTTCAGCTATGCCCTGCCCACAGAGGTAGAGTCTAGAGAGGCAGTAGACCTTGCTGAGCTGTGGTGGGCTCCACCCAGTTCGAGCTTCCTGGCTGCTTTGTTTACCTACTCAAGCCTCAGCAATGGCGGATGTCCCTCTCCCCACCAGGCTGCAGCCTTGCAGGTCAATCTCAGACTGCTGTGCTAGCAGTGAGCAAGGCTCCATCGGTGTGGGACCTGCCGAGCCAGGCACGGAAGAGAATTTGCTGGTCAGTTGGTTGCTAAGGCTGTGGGAAAAGTGCAGTATTTGGGTGGGAGTGTACCCTTTCCTCCAGGTAGAGTCTGTCATGGCTTCCCTTAGCTAGCAAAGGGAAATGCCCCAACCCCTTGTGCTTACTGTGTGAGGCAATGTCCCGCCCTGCTTCAGCTAGCCCTCTGTGGGCTGCACCCACTGTCCAATCAGTCTCAATGAGATGAACCAAGTACTTCAGTTGGAAATGCAGAGATCACCCATCTTCTGTGTCAGTCTTGCTGGGAGCTGCAGGCCAGAGCTGTTCCAATTCAGCCATCTTGGAAGTGACTGCAATGGTTATAATTTTAACATCAGGCAAGGCTAACATCAGGACAAACAAGTATTAAGGGGTACAAATAAATAATCTATAATGATAAAAAATTGCAGTTCACAAGTTACAATGTTATGAATACCTAGGCACCAAATAACTTAGCACCGACATGAATATTAATTAAAACATAAAATCACAGGATGTACAAGAAAAAATGGAAACACTGTAGTAGAAGCCAAAACAACAGAGAAGGGCTAAATACCATAATTAATAACAGATAAAACTTGGTACTCAAGAAAGAGAATACACCTTTTTTTTAAAGTATCTGTGGATAATTCACAAAAATTGACCATATATTAGGCCAAAATGAAAAATTTGTGAGGTATAAACTATAGAAAAAGTACAGATAACATTGTCTAAATACAAGGCAATAAAAAAGAAGAGAAGAGCCAGGTGCAGTAGCTCATGCCTATAATCCCAGCACTTTGGGAGGCCAAAGCTGGTGGATCCCTTGAGCCCAGGAGTTCGAGACCAGTCTGGGCAACAAGGTGAAACTTTGTCACTACCAAAAAAAAAAAAAAAAAAAAAAAAAAAACACACACCAAAGAGAAGAGAACACTTTATAACTTGTTTTATGAGGCCAGCATAACCTTGATATCCAAAACAGACAAGGACATTATAAGAAAGGAAAATTACATGATGATCTCTCTCATCAACATAGATGCAAAAATTCTGAACAAAATATTAGCAAATCTAATTGTATTAATACATTCAAAGCATGTATAGCTTTTTTTTTTTTTTTTTTTTGAGATGGAGTTTCACTCTTGTTGCCCAGGCTGGAGTGTAATGGCATGATCTTGGCTCACCACAACCTCTGCCTCCCAGGTTCCAGCAATTCTCCTGCCTCAGCCTCCCGAGTAGCTGGGATTGCAGGTATGTGCCACCATACCCAGCTAATATTTTGTATTTTTTAGTAGAGACGGGGTTTCTCCATGTTGGTCAGGCTGGTCTTGAACTCCCGACCTCAGGTGATCTGCCCTGGCCTCCCAAAGTGCTGGGATTACAGGTGTGAGCCACTACACCCAGCCAAGCATGTATAGTTTTTAAAAGCTCAACAACATGATCTGATATGCAGTCAGGTTTGATCCACTGTTGTACATAATATAAGATGTCATCATCACAGACCATAATAGTAAATTCCCAATTGAATTGCCAATTTAGAAGCTTGACTTTTCCCGGTCACTTCAGCATTATGTTGGAAAAGACTGAACCTTAAAATCAGACTGATCAGGGATGGAATCATAATTCTTTATTTATTTTTTCTTTTTTGAGACGGAGTCTCCCTCTGTCGCCTAGGTTGGAGTGCAGTGACGCAATCTCGGCTCACTGCAAGCTCTGCCTCCCAGGTTCATGCCATTCTCCTGCTTCAGCCTCCCGAGTACCTGGGACTACAGGTGCCTGCCACCATGCCTGGCTAATTTTTTGTATTTTTAGTAGAGACAGGGTTTCACCATGTTAGCCAGGATGGTCTCGATCTCCTGACCTTAGGTTCTGCCCGCCTCAGCCTCCCAAAGTGCTGGGATTACAGGTGTGAGATCACCACGCCCAGCCAGAACCACTATTCTTAGAATTTACCAGCTATGTGATTTTGGACAAGTTACCAAACCTGTTAGTGTCAGTTTTTTTCAGCCGTAAAATAAGAATAACACTAACTCTCAGTAATGTTCATTTGTGGAATTAAGGAGACACAATTTATACAGGCAATATGTTGGGATGACACCCCAAATAATATAAAATCAATGAGAGCCAAATAAAAAGGATGAGGTTAGACACCAGTAGAAATGACACAGCCAAAGAGATTATTGGATTATTTGTGGGTGTGTAATAGTCTCACCAACACCCAGATCAAATTTAAGTGGCCTGGGTATACTGTCATCTTTGGAAAATAGGAACTGGACTGCACCGGATTAGGTTAAGTCTCAACCTAATCGGTTGCATAATAACATAGGACGAAAACAATGTGCCAATCCCCACAGTAGGAACACCCTAATAACAGACATGGAGGCATCAGGCCACTGAAGCAGGGTGGCATCAGCCATTAGAACCATGGAGCCTCCCGTACCCCACCCGTGGGGTTTCCTGCTCACTGGGCCACCTTCTGCTGACATTTTTACAGATGTGCCTACGGAAAGGGGATGACATGATGAGCCAACAAGCACATCCATCAAATCCTCTAGAGCAGTATCAGTGGAAATCTAAAAGCCCTAGGACTCGGACCTTGGCCACCTCACTGCCCTTAGTGCCTGGGTGATGCTGGAGAGGATATTTGCAAGCCTCCATCTTTTTCTCCCATCCCAGTCTAGTCAGTTTATATGGCAATGAGGTGAGGAAAGGAAGCTTTGGTGATTCAGGTTTCTGGGGTGGCCACTACATGATTCATCATGACAAGACTGCAATGATGATTTCTCAGACTTAGCAAATACTAGCACTTATCCCTTCTGAAGTAAAGCAGGTCCATTATGAGATGGTTTTTAATATGGCCACTTCTGGTATCTTTCATTTTTCAGAGAACATCTTGTATAACTCAAACTCCTTCTCCTCTCCTTCCTTAGTGCTGTGCCCTTGTTTGCTTCTTTCATCTCCCAGAATGCAGTCTGAACTTCAGTCACTTCCACGGCCCCCCTTTTCCTCCACACTACGCTTTTTCCCATGATCATTCTGAATACTTGTCACTGACCCTGTGGAGATCTCTTTCTCCACAGTTCATTTCCCAGTTTCACTTTCTCCTACTCAATGATGTCCATCTCCTACCCATTCCCAGGTTATGCTGAGTTTAACCACAGTCCATCATGCCAGAAAGACTAGTATGTGACGCATGGACAAAATGCTGTTTATTTTTCATGGGACAAAATGTAATGTTTTCCTGAAGGGTTATTGTTGTAATCTCTACCTGTACCAGACAACAGACAGGCTGACCTTTAGAAGGTAAAACTAAACTTCTTCCTTTTCAACTCACCCCTGTCACCATGTCAACTTCTAGGGGTTGGCAAATAAGGAGGTAGAGCTTGTTCTGTTTGATCAGTATTCTTTGCACTTAATGATCCTTATGTGCTCCAGCTTTGGCAGTTAAATCAACAATATTAATTTTGTTTTCAGTATGTGCAGAGCACCAAACCACAAGAGAAAGTGCATGACAGACAGACTCCTTGTCCTGAAAGAGATGACACTCTATGGGGAAAGACCACCCCTACTCCAAGAACACATACAACCACTCAAATGATTCAAATGGAAAAGTAGGGTGAGCGTCATTCTTACCACAAGTGCAGTCATAGGTGTGCTCCCCAAATCAGCCTGTATGGAGGCTAAGAGCACGGGCTCTGACACTTGCCATCTGATTTTAGGCAACTGCTTAAGCTCTCTAAGCCTCTTTCTTCTCTGTAAGATGGGATACCCATAGTCTCTGCTTCATAGTGTTGTAGTGAGGATTAATTAGCACATAAAAAGTGCTTAGCACAGTAATAATAATAGCTAGTTTCTTAAGCATTTACTTTATACCAGCGTGGCAGCTAAATAATGGCCATGAAAGATATCTAGGTGCTAATCCCTGGAATCTGTGAATGTTACCTTAATGGAAAAGGGGTCTTTGCAGATGTTATTAAGTATCTTGAGATGGGGAAATTATCTTGGGTTACCTGGGTGGACCCTAAATGTAATCACAAAGTGTCCTTGTAAGAGGGAGATAGAGGGAGTAAAATCTAGGAAGGGTTTTACTGAGGAAGGCAGCAATGTGATGATGGAAACCAGATACTATGCTGCTGGCCCTTGAGATGGAGGAAGGTGCCACCTTCATCCTAACCTAATATAAAAATCCAGATTTACAAAACAAGTCAGTGAAAAGATAATTATTTTTTCCTTGTTGCAACTTCTTTCACTCTGGACCCTGGGTTATGGGGTTATGGGATTGGTGAGGAGTGGTTTGGGAGAAAGCTGTGGCTTGAGGCTCTTCAGGTCTCTCCCTGGCCTAGAATAAAGTGGGTCAGGAAGGTTCTGCACATGTGAGTACAGGGTGTGGTGTGTGGTGAAGCCTAGTGAGGATGGTAGATTAGTAAGTATGATCCCTGGATACACCTCCCCACTATCAATGAGGAGATGGGAAGAGGTGAGAGTTGGATGAACCAATACAAGGGAGTTCTTTAGAATAGTGCCTGGCTGTATTCATTTCCTATGGCTGCTGTTACAAATTACCACAAACTTGGTGGCTAAAAACAATACACATTATTCTCTCACAGTTCTGGAGGTCAGAAGTCTGAAATCAGTGTCACTGAGCCAAAATCCAAGTGTCTGCAAAGTCGAGCTCCCTCCAGAGGCTCTAGGGGAGATTCTGTTTATTTCTCTTTTCCAGCATCTAGAGCTGCATTCTTGGGCACCTTCCTCCATCTTGAAAGCTGGCAGCATAGCATCTTGTTTCAGTCATCACCTTGCCGCCTTTTTCTGTATATAAGAAGTCACCTAGGCAAGCAGTATGCTAAATGATTAATGATCAAAAGCTTAGTTGCTATTATGGAAGACTCTACCAGACTGGCTCCTTATCGTTGCCATTCAGAAGCTATTTGTGTCTTCAAGGAAGCTGCTTGAAAGAAACACAAAAAAGAAACCAACATTTGTCCTTGTGGCCTGAGTCACAGGGAAACACAGAACGGAGAGAACCAAGTTTCCTATCTGTGACCTGACTCCACCATAGCCTAGACCCAAGTGATGCCTATAGCACTTCCAAAGTCCCTGGGAGTTTGGATCCAGGCCAGGACTGGTTACCAGTGGGACTGGGTCCCGGCTCAGTATCAAGATCTATCTGTTTCCCCCAAGGGTTTTCCAAATTTCCTAGGGTACCTGAGTCTGGGGAACAGCCTTTAGGACAGCACTGTCCAAGAGAAGTACAGTGGTCTCTTGGGATATACAGAGGATTGGTTTCAGGACACCTCCAACACAGCTACCAAAATCCGCGATGCTCAAGTCCCTTATATGAAATGGTGTAGTTTGTGCTTATAACCTACACACATCTTACTGTATACTTTAAATCATCTCTAGGTTACTTATAATACCTAAGACAATGTAAATGCTATGTAAATAGTTGTCATATTTTTAAAATTTGTTATTTTTATTGTTGTATCGTTATTTTTTCCCAGATATTTTTGATCCACAGTTGGTTGAATCCACAGATGCAGAACCCACAGATATGAAGGGCCAACTGTATAATGTGGGCCATGTACAGTTTTATTTATTTATTTTTTTAGAGACAGAGTCTCGCTCTGTCACCCAAGCTGGAATGCAGTGGCACAATCATAGCTCATTGCAACTTTGAACCCATGGGCTCAAGTGATCCTCTTCTCTCAGCTTCCCATGCAGCTGAGACAACAAGGATGCATCACCATGCTCAACTATTTATTTTTTCTGTAGAGATGAGGGTCTACACCCTATATTGCCCATGGTGTATCTAACTTTAAATGGTCAAGTAGCCACATTAAAAAAGGAAAAAAAAAAAGAAACAGTTGAAATTAATTTCAACAATATATTTTATTTAAACCAATATATCCTAAACATGATTTTAACATGTAATCAACATGAAAGTTATTCTGTTTTTGCCTGGGCACGGTGGCTCACGCCTGTAATCCCAGCACTTTGGGAGGCCGAGGTGGGCAGATCACTTGGGGTCAGGAGTTTGAGGCCAGCCTGGCCAACATGGTGAAATACCACCTCTACTAAAAATACAAAAATTAAAACAAAATATAAAAATAAATTAAATAAACACACATACAATTCAAAAATTAGTCAGGCATGGTGGCAGACACCTATAATCTCAGCTGCTCGGGAGGCTGAGGCACGAGAATCACTTGAACCTGAGAGGCATAAGGTTGCAGTGAGCAGAGATGGTGCCACTGCACTCCAGCCTGGGTGACAGAGGGAGACTCTGTCTCAAAAAATAAAAATAAAAATTATTCTGTTTTTGCGCTAAGTCTTCACAATCCAAGGTGTATTTCACACTTAATACATCTCAGTTCAGACTAGCCACATTTCAAGTGCCCACTAGCTACATCTTGCTATATTAGACAGCACAGGTCTACAGCAACTTGACTTGCCTGCTCCTACCCACTCTACCTCGCACTCTCATCAAATGCAGAGACAGTGCCAGGGATTTCATGAGAGGTGGGCCAGAAAAGCTCAGGGGGACTTTTTTTTTTTTATATAAGGCAATAAAATATGTTGCCCAGGCCGGCCTCAAGCAATCCTCCTGCCTGGGCCACCCAAAGTGCTGGGAACCTGTAAAGGTGTGAGCCACAATGACCGCTCACTTTTTTTTTTTTTTAACAAATCTTTGTTGTATATATTTATGGGGTAAAATGTGATGTTTTGATGTATGTATACAATTGGCATGATTAAATCAAGCGGATTAACACATCCATCACTTCACTTACCTATTATTTTTTATAGTGAGACATTTGAAATTTACTCGTAGCTATTTTGAAATATATATTACCATTGACTATAGTCACCCTGATGTGCAGTAGATGTCAAAACCTGTTCCTCCTGTCTATCTGAAATTTTGTACCCTTTAATCAATAATTCCCCATTCTGTCCCTCCCCACCTTCCCCCAAGCTTCTGTTAACCATTGCTCTACTTTCTACTTCTATGAGTTCAACTTTATTAGAATCCACATATAAGTGAGATCATGTGGTATTTATATTTCTGTGCCTGGCTTATTTCACTTAGCATAATGACCTCCAGACTCATCCATGTTGTTGCTGGAAATGACAGGATTTCCCCCTTTCGGGGCCTAGTTGTTATCATAGTGATGCTATGAGTCCACCAGGGAAAACAAAGTTACCCTTCTTCTGAATCATCCTGATTTTTTCCAATATCCCTCTTTTCTGCCCTGCAGAAACCAAGGACTAGTGCTCTTAGAGAATTTGACCTATATGTTATTCTAGCACCTACTTCACTTTGCCTTACAGTCAGTTGTTTATATTTCCAACTCTCCAACCAGATTATATTTATAATGGAAGGGTCCCACTCCCTGTTATCTCACTTTACAGGAAAAGAAAAAAAAGCTGTGAGTTTAGCACTCTGTCATCAACAAATGTTTGTTGAATGAATGCGTAAATGAATGAATGAGACAACCCTAGCAGGGTTGATGAATGTGTATTATGGAAGCCTTCGTTTTATCTGGCACCTCCAGGTCCATACAACCTGCTTCCTAATAAACAGTGAAACAGGGCACTGTTGGGTCCCAGTCTGGAAACTGAAGGAAATATTTTCCTTTATCTTCTGGATCCTTACATGTATGAATTCAATTCATCAAATAGTACCTGAGTAACTCCCATATTCCAGGCACTGTGCTGGGTGCTGTGGGAGCTGCAAAGATTAGTAAGAAATAATCCTTGCCTTCAAGTACCTAACAATGTAGTAGGGGCCTTTGGCAGGTATACACAAGTAATTATAACTTTAGGTTGAGTAACCTAAGTGCTCTAAGTGGACTAGAGTCCTGTGGGGAGAGGGGGCAAGAAGAGGAGGTTGCCAAAGAAGTTTCATTCAGAGATATCCTTTGAGATGATGCCTGAAAGAAGGACAGGATTTGGACAGATGGGAATGGGGAGAGGGAAAGAAACAGCTTTTAAAAACCTAACAAATGGGCTGCGTGTGGTGGCTCGCACCTGTAATCCCAGCACTTTGGGAGGCTGAGGCGGGTGGATCACAAAGTCAAGAGACCGAGACGATCCTGGCCAACATGGTGAAACCCGTCTCTACTAAAAATACAAAAATTATCCAGGCATGATGGCGCACACCTATAGTCCCACCTACTCAGGAGCCTGAGGCAGGAGAATTGCTTGAACCCAGGAGGTGGAGGTTGTGGTGAGCCAAGATCGCACCATTGCACTTCAGCCTGGTGACAGAGCAAGACTCCATCTCAAAAAAAAAAAAAAAAAAAAAAAAATCTGACAAATGAGGAAGAAACACAATACAGAGTAGGTATGGTGAGGAGCCTAACTAAGACAAGGAAATGAACCCGATTTTAAAGATAAGAGCAAAGTGAAATAAATCACAACACTGTGACAAGGAAACAAACCTCTTTAAGAGGGGTGAGGGCCCCACAGTTGGCAGGCACCCTCGTTTAAGTCAGCAACACCATGAAGGAAAGCTCTTGAGATTGGGAATTCCAGGAAGAGATGAGATCTGTGCCACACCTTCATCTGTGTCACACCCTCATGATTGCAGAGGCAAGGAATGGAGGAATGAAGGGCTCTCTGATCAAGAAAGAGGGAATCTCCTAAAGACTGTGACACAATCAGGTTGAGCAAAGCCCCCGAGTGACAGAGAAAGGATGAGAAGAGATCAGATACGCTGGAAATAACTTTATGTAACACAGAAGACATGGGCAATAGTCTGGCTAGTGAGTACTACATGCTCTGGAGATTAGGGGAACCATACGAACGGGAAAACAAATAGCAGGCTGGGAAATCACCCCAGGGTGGGGAGATGGAAGAAGAATGGAGACAGTGATAGTGAGAACTGGAGTGTAAATTCTAAGTGACAGCCTTTTCCAAGCCACTAAGGTCAGGATCCAAGGCCTGGAGTAGGGTAGGTGGTTCTGTACATATCACAAAAATTGCACCCACAACAGTGGGAAAAAAATTCCAAGACTGATATTGAGGCAGGTGTGTAAAACAAAAGCAGAGACAATCTGATTTAAGGAAAAGATTGATTTACTTTCAATTTTATTTTTAAATTTCAGATCCACCTAATGCCCTGAGCAGTTTTACTTCAGAACAAAGAGCAGGCCCCTTTACCTTTCAGAGCCTGCACACAAGGGAGCCTGAAGAACACACACATTCTGCACTCAGTGATACACCATAGCTGTAAAGGAAACTAATAAAGGCAAGCATGCATTGATCATGTGGCAAATGCTAGGCCCTGTGCAATGCACTTTTACAGGCATTTTCTCATTTAATCCTTCAATATTACTATGGCATTGTTACTATCTTCATTTCTCAGATGCGGAAACAAGTTACATAGCTCACTAAGATGACAAAATCTAGTAATTAGTGGGGCTGTAGGAAGATTTTTAATATTATAAAATCACTATTTTTCCCAGTTAAAGGACTGCTCAGATTTTCTCTTTTTCATGGCAGTTTTAGTAAGATATATTTCCTAGAAATTTAAATAGTTCATGTAAATGTTCAAATTTATTGACATTAATTTGGTCATAATTTCCTCTAATTTTTTTAAATGTCTCTAGAATCTGAGATGTATTCCTCTTTTCATTTTTGATATTATCTGTGCCTTCTTTCTTTTTCTTTGCCAGTCCTATCAGAAATTTATAAATTTCTTTTAGTCTTCAAAACTCAACTTCTTGATTTGTTGATCATTTCTACTGTAAGTTTGTTTCCTATTTTATTAATTTCTTCTATCTCTACTACAATTCCATATTATTTCCTAACTTCTATTTTCTTTGGGGTTTTTTGGTGATTTTTTTCTTTTTCAATTTCTTTCTTCCTTTTTTCTTTTTTTTTAGATGGTCTTGCTCTGTTGCCCAGGCTGGAGTGCAGTGGCACAAACATGGCTCCCTGCAGCCTCAACATCCCAGCTCAAAGCATTCCTCCCACTTCAACTTCCTGGGTAGCTGGGACTACAGGTACACGCCACCACACATAGCTACTTTAAAAAAAATTTTGTAGAAATGGGGTCTCCCTATGTTGCCCAGGCCTGTCTCAAACTCCTGGGATCAAGCAATCCTCCCGCCTCGGCTTCCCAAAATGCCAAGATTACAGGCGTGAACCACCACGTCCAGCCCCTATCTTCCATTGTTTTACTTTCAACATTTTAACATCCTTAAATTTTAAATGTCTTTTATAAATGGCATATAATTATTTTAAAACTCTAGCTGCCCAAAGTGGTGATTTAATTGAAGCATTTAGTCCACTTACCTTTAAGATAATTGTTGATATACTAGGGTAAATAATAAACATTTCTACCATGTATCTCCCGTAAAGAGAGAAAAATTTTCCTTGGGAAGAAATGAAGGATATTATATTGATGCCATCTACTGAAAAAATTAAAAAACTGAAAAACTACTCCAAGTAACATTGTTTCCGTTAAGCAAACTTTTAAAAAGCTTTTGTTCAAGGTTTCAACTATGTTATTGTATTGGATAAACACATTCTGCCTTCAGCTATTCATAGATTTCTATCTTTTCCAACCTGTTAGGGTAAAAATGGAGCTGTCATGAACTCTTTGTGTCTTAGGAGGTAAAAAGCTCCCCAACTCTATCTAGTTTGCCCACACTAGATAGAGTCTCCCTCTATTGCCCAGGCCGGAGTGCAGTGGTGCGATCTTGGCTCACTGCAACCTCTGCCTCCTGGGTTCAAGCGATTCTCCTGCCTCAGCCTCCCAAGTAGCTGGGACTACAGGCACACGCCACCATGCCCAGCTAATTTTTGTATTTTTTGCAGAGACGGGGTTTCACCATGTTGGCCAGGCTGCTGTCAAACTCCTGACCTCAAGTAATCCACCCACCTTGGCCTCCCAAAGTGCTGGGATTTCAGGTGTGAGCCACTGTGCCCAGCTTTGAGTGTTTTATTGAACTTAATTTTTTAAGTAAAGACTGGGTTCTTGCTATGTTGCCCAGGCTGATCTTGAACTCCTAGCCTCCAGAGATCCTCCTGCCTTGGCCTCTAAAGTGCTGAGACCACCATGCCTGGCCCCAATTTGAGTTTTCAAAGTACTAGTTTGATGATCATTTATCACTTACTTTGTGACAGGAACCCGAATATGCTAATAATAATGAAGCTACATAGCTTTTTTATTGAGCACTTACTAAGTATCAGGTACGGTCCTAGGCACTTTACATGTATTACCTTGCTTAATCCTCACAATTTCCCTATAATTTTGGCATTAAGATCCCCATTTACCAGGAAACTGAGGCACAGACAGCTTAAGTAACTGGTCCAAGATCACAAACTAGATAAGAGTTACAGTTGGAATTTAAACCAAGATAGTCTGACTCTGTGCTCTTAGCCATTCCCTTATACTGCTACTGAGATGCAGTGCCCTCTCCAATACAAAGGGTATGAGTTCAAGTATCATTTACGAGTATGTTTGCTGTGGCATAATGTAGAATGCAAAGTAAACAGAAAAAAAAAGGTACTCTAGGGAAGGTCTGTAGATTTTAATAAAATTATTAATAGCTTTAGGTGGGTTCTCCTATCCAGTAGTAACAGGATGATAGCTGTATCGCTGGGCTACTAGGCCTTTCATTTAAGTACTTCAGGGAATCACTCATGCAAATAGAATTTTCTGCTAAATAGTTATTTCTGGGAATTATTTGTGCCTAGTAAAATTTTATAGACTCACAGATCTGGAAGGTCCCTTAGAGATCTATTATTCCAGACCACTCATTTATAATATTAACAATTATCTTTGAAGGTGGTTTTGTTTGTTTGTTTGTTTTTTGAGACAGTGTCTTACTCTGTCATCCAGGCGTACAGTGGTGTGATCACAGCTCACTGCAGCCTTGAACTCCTGGGCTCAGGTGATCCCCCTACTTCAGCCTCCTGGGTAGCTGAGACTACAACAGGCACATTCAGCTAATGTTTTGTATTTTTCGTACAGACAAGGTTTTGCCATGTTGCCCGGGCTGGTCTCAAACTCCTGGACTCAAGCTATTCTGCCATGGCTTCTCAAAGTGCTAGGATTACAGGCATGAGCCACCACACCTGGCCTGGAGGTGGTATTTTAAGGGCCTTTTTCTTTTTTTTATTTATATGGTGTTTAATTTTTTATAAGAACACATCACACATAGTCAGAAAAATAAACTTAAAGATGGTTATTTCTGCTAAGACAAGTCAATGAAGGAAAAAATAGTCATTTCAACAAATGGTGCTGGAACAACTGAATATCCACATGCCAAAGAATGAATCTGGACTCCTACCTCAAACTATACTAACTCAAATCATAGACCTAAATGTAAAAATTAAAACTGTAAAACTCTTAGAATGTAGGAGTAAATCTTCATGATCTTAGGTTGGGCAATGGTTTCTTAGGTACAAACCAAAGGCACAATCAACAAAAGAAAGTATAGATAAATTGGACTTCATCAAAATTAAAAACTGTGTGTTGCAAACAATGTCATCAAGAAAGCAAAAAAAAAAAAATCCATGAATAGGAGAAAATATTTGCAAATCATATATATGATAAAGTACTTGTATCCAGAATATATAAAGAACTCTTATAATTCATTAACAAAAAGACAATTAACCCAGATTAAAAATGGCAAAGGAGGTGAATAGAAAGATATTCTATTCTTTCTATTCAATATTCTTCAGAAGATATTGAAGTATATTCAATATCTTCTTTTATTGGCTTCTTTTTTATCTCCAAAGAAGATACAAAAAATAGCCAGGCTGGGCACTGTGGCTAACGCCTGCAATCCCAACACTTTGGGCAGCTGAGATGGGTGGATCACTTGAGTCCAGGAGTTCAAGACCAGCCTGGGTGACATGGCAAAACCCTGTCTCTACAAAAAAAAAAATTAGCCAAGCATGGTGGCCTTGCCTGTAGTCCCAGCTACTCAGGAGGCTGAGCCAGGAGGATTGGTTGAGCCCAGGAGGTGGAGGTTTCCATGAGCCAAGATCATGTCACTGCATTCCAGCCTAGGTGATAGAGTGAGAACCCATCTCAAAAAAAAAAAAAAAAAAAAAAAGAGGGAGAGATAGCCAATAAGCACATGAAAAGATGTTCCATATTATTAGCCATTAGAGAAATGCAAATCACAAGAGACCACTTAACACCCACTAGGATGGCTATATTTAAAAAGACAGATAAATGTTGTTGAGGATGTGAAGAAATTAGAACCCTTATTCATTGCTGGTGGGTATGAAAATGGTGTAGCTACTTTGAAAAACAGTTGGCACTTCCTCAAAACGTTAAACATAGTTATTAGATGACCCAGCAATTCCACTCTTAGATATATACGCAATAGAAAAAAAAACATATATCCACATAAAAATGAAATGTTCATAGCAGCATTATTCATAGTAGATAAAAAGTGGAAAGACTTAAATGTCCATCAGTTGATGAATAGGTAAATACAATGTAGTATATCCATACAATGGAATATTATTATACTTAGCAATAAAAAGTAATGAAGTACTGATACATGCTTTAACATAAATGAACCTGGAATACATTATGCTAAGTGAAAGAAGCTAGTCACAAAACAGCATATATTGTATGATTCCATTCATATAAAATGTCCAGAATAGGAAAATATATATAAATAGAAAGTAGATTCATGGTTGCCTAGGGCTGGGGTGTGTGTTGGGGGCATGGGGAGTAACTGCTAATGGTCAAGGGGATGATGGAAATGTTCTAAAATGTTCTTTTGGGAATGATGAGAATGTTCTAAAATCAGACTGTGGCGATGATTGTACAACTCTGTAAATGCTCTAAAAACCATTGAATTGTACACTTTATATGAGTGAATTGTAAGGTCTATGAATTATATCTTAATAAAGCAGTTAAAGGAAAAATGGCTATTCCATTAAACTGGAATAGCAATATGATTTAAGATGCCATTCTATCTATTCATTATTAAACATTGAGGTTAATTTCAGTTTTTCACTCTGCTAAATAATAGTGTAACCAAGCACGCCATTACAAAGAACTTTTTACTAAAGCTGCTATAAATCTAATAAATATGTGATGTCACTAAAGTCACCTACCTCACTTTAAGGTTACAAATCTGTCAATACTTTACAGATGTAAATAAATGGTATCTTCCACACAATTCTCACCCATAGACCAAGGTCAACAGCTTGCCCTTAAACCTCAATTATAATTGGTTTGGCAATAATAGACAAAAATATAGTGACTTAAACAAAACAGAAGTTTGTTTGTCTGTCACATAAGTCTAGAGGTAGGCAGCCCAAGGCTGGGATGGCAGATTTCTACACAATATCCTCAGGATCTCAGGCTCTTTTCAGTCCACTGCTTTGCCAACCCTAGGGTATGGTTCTTGCTCTTATGGACTGAAATGGTAACTACCACATCCTCTAAGTAACAGGCTGAAAGAACACAGAAAGAATGGGAGTGGAAGGAAAGGGAGACAAAGAGTATGTGCCAAGGCCTTTAAGAAAAGTTCCCGGATTCCATTTCTTCTGTATATCCATTGGCTAAACCACTGTGACAGCCATACTTAATTTCAAGTGGAACTGAGAATATATTCTTTATTCTTGGTAGCATGTGCTTAGATAGAAATTAGGGGTTCTGGGGCCAGGTGTGGTAGCTCATGCCCATAATCCCAGCACTTTAGGAGGCTGAGACAGGAGGATTGCCTGAGCCCAGGTGTTTGAGACCAGCCTATAGGCAATATAGTGAGACCCTGTTTCTAGAAAAATATTTAAAAATTAGCCAGGTGTAGTGGTATATGCCTATAGTCCTAGCTACTTGAGAGGCTGAGGTGGGAGGACTGCTTGAATCCAGGAGTTCAAGGTGATTGCACCACTGCACTCCAGCCTGGTGAAACAAGAAAGAAAAGAAAAGGAAAAGAAGAGAGAGGAAGGAAGGAAGGAAGGAAGGAAGGAAGGAAGGAAGGAAGGAAGGAAGGAAGGAAGGAAATTAGGGGTTCTATATCATTATGGAAAAAAGAGAAACAGACATTCAGAAATTAACTGGCAGACTTGGCCAATGACTCATAATGTATCTAATTACAGAAAACACTACCAAAAGCTAGAAAAAAAATCTAGTCACAAAGGATGAAATAACTAAGATGAACTACACACTAAATTAAACAGTTTAGGAAATGACTATGCTTAATACTTGAAAGCATCAGAGAAGACATGCTTTCAAAAGGATGGAGAAATAAAAGTTCTAAAGTGAGGAGAACATTTTTTTCTTTTTTTTTTCTTTTTTTGAGACGGAGTTTCCCTCTGTCTCCAGGCTGGAGTTCAGTGGCACGATCTCGGCTCACTGCAACCTCTGCCTCCCAGGTTCAAAGGATTCTCTGGCCTCAGCCTCCCGAGTAGCTGGGATTATAGGCATTTGCCGCCACGACCAGCTAATTTTTGTATTTTTAGTAGAGACTGGGTTTCACCTTGTTGGCCAGGATGGTCTCAATCTCCTGACTTCGTGATCCACTCACCTTAGCCTCCCAAAGTGCTGGGATTACAGGTATGAGCCACTATGCCTGGCCAGAGAACACTTTTAATAAGGATAGTCAGAGGCATTATCCATCAGCTACATTAAAGCAAGTTTTAAAAAACGGTTACATGAGCAATAATTAAGATCATATTGCTTTTCACTTCCCATTAAAACAATAAACTTAAAATAGTTCAACTTTGCTTATTTTATTTTTTCATATGCTTCTAATTCCTGGAAGGCTTATGTTATCACTGATTTTATTGTGTCTGACAATATTTCAAAGATATAGGTTACATTTTGCTTTACTATATACATTGAAAGATACAATCACTTTGGGAAACAAACCAAAAAAAGTGTTTCATTATAATTTTAAATTTACACATGCATAATATATCAGAAAAATACTGGATACTCTCTTTCAAGAAATTCCAACATACACAACTTGGTGTACATTTACTTAATCCTCTTAGTCATTAATTTAAGATCTACAGACAGGCTTGGTTTCTATACAAGAAACAGTCAATGGTATGTAACTACAATAAAGTATTCAGGAGAAATGCGTTTCAGGGAAAGATAATTAAGATTTAAGGTTTTTGTCTTTTCTGTTTTTTTGTGTAATTTACAAGATCTGAAGGGCTTAACCACAGATGTGAATATAAATAAGGAAAAGTTATCATATGGAAAAAATATAAATTCTCAAATGCTGATGCCAAAAGTAGTGTTAAAATTTTGTCTTATGAAATTTATGTCATGGGAGAAGGGCCAGGGCCAGGGCCCACATATACCTAAATGGTCCAAGCACTAAAAAAGTGTGCATTTTCTTTAGATAATTCTATAGCTGGTATTCACTTGCTTGGAAGAAGTACAGTTCTAAGATGATAGCTTCACAAATAACACTGTCATTTATAAGTCACAAAAATGTAATAAACCAGTCAGACTCTATATAGCATGGCCATATGAATAAAGATAACAAACTGCCTTCTTGAAATCACTACAACTCAATACTAATGAAACTGTCTAGGGTCAATGGTCTTGTAGTCTGAGGTGTTATCTGAGCTCATTGTCTCACAACCAAGAAAATTAAGGAGCCTGGACACAAGGGTGAGGTTGGAGCAAAACTTTTATAAGCAAAAGAAAGAAAGCTCTCCACAGTGGAGAAGGGACCCGAGTGGGCTGCTGTTTTTACAGTTGAATCCAAAAGCTT